>NC_000022.11:10510000-10784643 GCF_000001405.40 Homo sapiens | reverse complement strand
GATCCTTGGAGGGTGGGCAGGTGCATGGAGGGTGACAGCAGTGCTGATTCCTTTGGTGTCAGCACTAATGGTGGCAGCAGCAGCAAGTCTAGGGGCCAGGAAGGGGAAGTAGGAGAGCTTTGGGGCCCGGCCTGGCCTGGGGTGGGTAAGAAGCTGCTGGTTCTGTACTGCAGGCCTCAGTGACAGTGGTGGAGGTGCAGCCAGGGCAAGGAGGAGTCCTCCCCTTTCTCCTGTGGTCTCTGGTCTCTGGAGGGTGCCCTCCTTCTGCTGGCATCTGAGCCAGGTGTGAGTGGCAGCATTGTTTCATTCTTAACAGAATTTAGGGGCTTACTATTTGTGTATCTTTTTGTTTTTGGTTGTGATAACCCTTAAGGGACAAAAGGCTTCTTTGGCTGGGTTTTGGTGTCGTGGGATCCCCCCATGTAAGACACAGGGTGCTTTCCTGGCAAGCTGTGTGTTGGAGGGAGTTCACCAAGGGAAAGAAAGGGAACCTCTCAGGAAGGTGGCTGCTGTGGCAGGTCCCCTGCCTCTGGGCACCCTTTGGGCCACCTAGTTTCCCCTGTGGAAGAGGCGAGGCTTAGACCGGTATCACTTGTATCATCAAAGAGGCATCCTGGCTGGGCCAGTTGATTTGACCTTCCCACTTCTTCAGCCCACCTGCCCATGGTGTCACCTGGGGAAAGTGGAACCTCAGGCCAAAGGGGCAGAGGCTTCTCCGGCAGGCTGATTGCTATAGCGGATTCTGTTCTGCCTGCTGCTCAGGAGGGCTTCTATGGCCACCGATCACTGCAACCTCCGCCTCCTGAGATCAAGCGGTTCTCCTGTCTTAGCCTCCCAAGTAGCTGGGATTATAGGTGTGCTACCATGCCCGGCTAATTTTTTTTGTTGCTGTTTGTTTTTTTTTTGAGATGAGTCTCGCTCAAGATGAGTCTCGCTCTGTTGCCCAGGCTGGAGTGCAGTGGCGTGATCTTGGCTCACTGCAAACTCCACCTCCTGGGTTCACACCATTCTCCTGCCTCAGCCTCCTCCCAGGTAGCTGGGACTACAGTCGCCTGCCACCATGCCCGGCTAATTTTTTGTATTTTTAATAGAGATGGGGTTTCACCGAGTTAGCTAGGATGGTCTTGATCTCCTGACCTCGTGATCTGCCCACCTCGGCCTCCCAAAGTGCTGGGATTACAGGTGTGAGCCACCGCGCCTGGCCTACGCCTGACTAATTTTTGTATTTTTAGTAGAATACTAAAAATACAGGGTTTCGCCATTTTGGCCAGGCTGGTCTTGAACTCCTGACCTCAAGTGATCTCCCCTGCCTTGGCCTCCCAGAATGCTTGGATTACAGGCATGAGCCACCATGCCCAGCTCTGATCTCTTATTTTTATTAAAGTTTTGAAATGCCACTCCCTAAAAAGGCTGCATCAATTTGTAATGTCATTAGCAATGTGTGATAGGTCTAGTTTTATCAAACCTTTGTCATGTATAATATATAAAAATCTTTATCTTAACAACTGAAAAAAAGTACTTTAGTCCTAAGTTTTTGCTTACTTGATTAGTAGGACTAACGAATATTTTGAATTTCTTTTTCTTTTTTCTTTGAGACCTGAGTCTCACGCTGTTGCCCAGGCTGGAGTGTCGTGGTGCGATCTTGGCTTACTGCAACCTTCGCGTCCCAGGTTCAAGCAATTCTCCTGCCTCAGCCTCCCAAGTAGCTGGGATTACAGGCATCCAGCACCACGCCCAACTAATTTTTTGTATTTTTAGTAGAAATGGGGTTTCACTGTGTTGGCCAGGCTAGTCTCGAGCACCTGATCTCATGATCCACCCGCCTCAGCCTCCCAAAGTGTTGGGATTACAGGCATGAGCCACCGCGTCAGCCTTTTTTTGAATTTTATTATTTGTGTTTCTTGTGAATTGTCCAGTCGTATTTTGTCCATACTTTATTGGGGTGGGGGCATTCTAACTGTTTCATATTATTAACTTAAGCTTGTTGTATGACATACTTTAAGACATTTGCTCTAAGAATTTCACCTCATTTCATTGTATAGGTAATTATCTTTTGTGTAGTGAAAAGTCCCATTATTTCTTTTAGTTCCTTTAAGATTTTATTCAATTATTTATAGAAGTAGTAAGATAAATATTTGTAGATTAGGTAAACAAAGCATTAGAATTTTTGACTTTTAGAAAGTAAAAAACATTTGATTTAATGTCTATTTTTGTTCATTCCCATTTCTTATCTAATTAATAGAACACAGTACTGGGAGGAGGAACAAAAATTTAATCATGATATTGCTGTTTTTCATAATAATCTAGGACTAGTAATAAGTCTTCTCTTTCATCAAGAAAATATTGAAGGCTGGATGCCATCACCTGTAATCCCAGCACTTCAGTAGGCTGAGGCAGGCTGATAGCTTGAGCTCAGGATTTCAAAATCAGTCTGGGCAAAATCGTGAGATCCCGTCTCTACAAAAAAATAAAAAATAAAAAATTAGCTGCATGTGGTATGCACCTGTTGCCCCAGCTGCTCGGGAGACAGAGGAGGGAGGATCACTTGAGCCTAGGAGATTGAGGCTGTAGTGAGCTGTGATCATGCCACTGCACTCTTGCCTGGTGGCAGAGCAAGACCCTGTCTCAAAAAGAAAAAAAAAAAAGAAAGTATTGAGAAGTTAACTTATTTCATTACCTTAATGAAAAATAGTTAAGGCCGGGTGCAGTGGCTCACTCCTGCAATCCCAGCACTTTGGGATGCTGAGGTGGGTGGATCACCTGAGGTCTAGAGTTTGAGATCAGCCTGACCAATATGGCGAAACCTCTTCTCTACTAAAAATACAAAAATGAGCCAGGCATGATGCCGGGCGCCTGTAATCCCAGCTAAAAAAAGACAAAAAATTTTTCCAAATATGGTATTTTTATTAAATCTTATTGAGTAGTTTTCACATTGGCAACTGTTTGTGTTTCTTTCTTTTTTTGAGATGGAGTTTCGTGCTTGTTGCACAGGCTGGAGTGTGATGGCACAATCTCGGCTCATGGCACCCTTCGCCTCCCAGGTTCAAATGATACTCCTGCCTCAGCCTCCTGAGTAGCTGGGATTACATGCATGCGCCACCATGCCTGGCTAATTTTGTATTTTTAGTAGAGATGGGGTTTCTTCATGTTGGTCAGGCTGGTCTCGAACTCCTGAACTCAGGTGATCTGCCCCCCCCCCCCGGCCTCCCAAAGTGCTGGGATTACAGGTGTGAGCCACCACACCCAGCTTTTTGTGTTTCATATGCATTTTTTTTTTGAAACAGAGTCTCACTATGTCACCCAGGCTGGAGTGCAGTGGCACCGTATTAGCTCACTGCAACCTCTGCCTCCTGGGTTCAAGCAATTCTCCTCCCTCAGGCTCCTGAGTAGCTAGGATCACAGGCGTGCGACACCACGCCCAGCTAAGTTTTGTATTTTTAGTAGAGACAGGGTTTCACCATGTTGGTCAGGCTGGTCTCGAACTCCTGACCTAGTGGTCTGTCCGCCTTGGCCTCCCAGAGCGCTGGGATTACAGGCATGAGCCATCGCGTCTGGCCTCATACATTTTCTAAATGAGTTTTGTAAATTTTTTTTTTTTTTTTGAGACAGAGTTTTGCTCTTGTCACCCGGACTGGAGTGCAGTGGCACGATCTCGGCTCACTGCAACCTCCGCCTCCCGGGTTCAAGCGATTTTCCTGCCTCAGCCTCTCAAGTAGCTGGGATTACAGGCGCCCGCCACCACACCTGGCTAATTTTTGTATTTTTAGTATAGACGGGGTTTTGCTATGTTGGCTAGGCTGGTCTCGAACTCCTGACCTCAGGTGATCCACATGCCTCGGCCTCCCAAAGTGCTGGGATTACAGGTGTGAGCCACCATGCCCGGCCAATTTTTGTAACTTTAAAGAGAACAAAAATCCTGAGATGGAAACCTATGTAGAATTTTATTCATAATTGAAGTTAGTTACATTACAGTGGAAATAGAAACTAGAAAGTTACATTGTATCTTCTAAACATATGTATTTAACATAACTTCACATTTCATTATAGATGGTTCTTTGGAATGACATTTAAAAATTTTGTGGCTGGGCGCAGTGGCTTACACCTGAAATCTTAGCACTTTAGGAGGCTGAGGCGGGCGGATTGCTTGAGCTCAGGAGCTCAACTAGTCTGTGCAGCATGACAAAACCCTGTCTCTACAAAAAATATGTAAATTATCCAGCTATGGTGGCCCGCATTAGTAGTCCCAGCTACTCGGGAGACTGAGGTGGGAAGATGACATGAACCCAGGAGGTCGAGGCTGTAGTGAGGTAAGATCGCACCACTGCACTCCAGCCTAGACAAAGTGAGACCCTGTCTCCGAAAAAAGAAATTGTTATAATGAAAGAATAGATTTACATTGTTAGTTTTGTTTTGTTTTTTTCTCAGAAGTGTAGAGTTGGTTCTTAGTCTGTCCATCTGTATACAAGCATGAACTGTACAGTCAACTGCCTTGTAGAGAGGGGCTGGTTTTTGGTTATGTCTTAAATCTTAACTCCTTTTAATTATTCTGAATTTTAGTGGGATTCCTGTATCATTGTAGATTTGGAAAGTATTGAGTAGGAGATGATAATCTATAATCAGGATTCTGAGTTGGTAAGATTTTATAGATCTGAATAAAGTAATTTCTTGACCTTGGCCTCAATAAGAAAGTCAGAACTTGACCCTTATTTACCAGCACCATCCTCCTCCCCCCACAATATTTGAAGTGTTTAAATCATTTATTTTGAAATTCTTATGTGATCCAAGACCACTGTTCACTTAAGCTAGTTTATTCGTTTATTAAAACAAAAGAAGTAGGCTGCAGTTACGTGTTTCTTTTTTTGTTGTTTGGTGTCAGGAGTAGAATACATTTGGCCAGCTTCATGAGAGGATTAGAAAGTTGGAGAAGGAAAAATAGAATTGTTTATGGAGCCAGGAGAATAATTGTCTATAATTATAGATGCTTGTTTTGAGGTTTGGAAAAGGTGGTTTAAAAAACTTTTAAGAAAAACCATGATAAACATCTATAAATATGAGGAAGAAAAATTGTTTGCAACATTTAAAAAAAATTTTTTTGAGAGGGAGTCTTGCTTTGTCGCCCAGGCTGGAGTGCAGTGGCAGGATCTCAGCTCACTGCAACCTCCGCCTCCCGGGTTCAAGCCATTCTCTTGCCTCAGCCTCCTGAGTAGCTGGGATTCCAGGTTCCCGCCATGATGCCCGGCTAATTTTTGGATTTTTAGTAGAGATCGGGTTTCACCATGTTGGCCAGACTGGTCTCAAACTCTTGCCTCAAGTGATCAGCCTGCCTTGGCCTCCCAAACTGCTGGGATTACAGGCATGAGCCACTGCTCTTGGCCAGGTTGCAACATCTTCATTAGAATTGTTTAAATGAAAATTTTCCTTTGTTAAATGGAAGAAAATAAGCTCTGTTTGGGAGAGTGAGGACCAAGTAGGACATCCTTGATACACATTGAAGATCTATTTATTTATTTATTTAAATTTTTAGCTCTGCAAAATTGACCAGAGTATGAAGATCATTTTAGTTGGTTAATATTTAAGTTTTGACTTCCTGGCCAGAGATAGTAGATTGGAAAGGATTTAAAGATTTACTGAGGGAGTTAACCCAAGTTTTTAACATTGTGATGCAAAATGATGTTAAAACGCATTTGTTTCCCTTTTATTATTTAAAGAAATCCTAGATGTTTTTAAATAATACAAAGTAATTAAATGGACCTGTTGGGTTATTTGAAATTAAGCAGTAGACAGGGGAAGTTCTTGTAAGTGGTTACTAAAGCGTTAATCTTAGAGGCATTCTCCACTGGCTGTCTGTAGCAGCGTCCCTGTTCTGGGCTTTGGAGAAATCCATCCCACCTTTTTTAGGTGCCTGCTTTACATCAGATCTACTTTCTCTTCTCGTGCCTTTTCTTCCACCTTCTTCCCCGTCCTCTTTCTCATAGATGGTGTGGAGGTGGGAGAGAGGGAGGGAGAGGGAGATCAATTGATTGATTGTGTGTTGAGGGGGTTGGGGGTCGGAGATTCTCAGGGCCATAAAAGTTGCACGAAATAAAATTCTCTTTTTTTTTTTTTTCTTGTGTGGGCCCTGCCATGAGATCAGGTTGTCAGGACTTGATTGGGAGCCACGGATCCCGCCCTACTGAAAACATTGTTGCAGGATGGGATGGGATGAAGCTGAAAGTGTTATCAAGTGGTATTATATCTGGCACAACAAACGGCCAGAACCCCAAAATACCCTAAGGATAAAAAGTTTTTGTTTGATACAAAAAAAGTTTTTGTTTGATACAAAAAGTTTATATTTGATACAAAAATATCATAGGATATTTTTGTATCTGGTTTGGAAAGACGACTTGAGTTGGATTGTACTGTTAAAGACAAAATGAACGATTGTATTTATTATGTAGTTAACCTTATTAAAGCATTAAGTATGATAGCACTAGTTATAGAGAATTGTGTGCATATGCACACATACACATATATATAAACATATACACACATATACATATATACACACACCATATATATATATATTTTTTTTGAGACTTGGTCTCGCTCTGTCATCCAGGCTGAAGTGCAGGAGTGAGATCTTGGCTCACTGCAGCTTCGACCTTCCGACCCCAGTGATCCTTCCACCTCAGCCTCCCAAGTAGCTGGGGCCGCGGGGATGTGCCATCACCACCAGCTAATTTTTTTATCTTTTATTTTTTGTAGAGACGGCATCTCTCGATGTTGCCCAGGCTGATCTCGAGCTCCTGGGTTCAAGTGATCCACCCACCTTAACCTCCCAAAATGCTGGGATTATAGGCGTGAGTCGCTGGGCCCGGCTGACATGTATATATTATATATACATCTCATATACATATACATATATACATAATCTCATACATAAAAATTATACATAATATATATAATATTTATAATATAATATATGTAATACATATAAATTAAAAAACTAAAAAAAATTATTTTATTTGAGATGGAGTCTTGCTCTGTCACCCAGGCTGGAGTGCAGTGGCACTGTCTCGGCTCACTGCAGCCTCCACCTCCCAGGTTCAAGCGATTCTCCTGCCTCAGCCTCCCGAGTAGCTGGGATTACAGGGGTGTGCCTCCACGACTGGCTTTTTTTTTTTTTTTTTTTTTTGAGACGGAGTCTTCCTCTGTCGCCCAAGCTGGAGTGTGAGGGTGCAATCTCGACTCAGTGCAAGCTCCGCCTCCTGGGTTCACACCATTCTTCTGCCTCAGCCTCCCAAGTAGCTGGGATTACAGGTGCCAGCCACTACGCCCGGCTAATTTTTTGTGTTTTTAGTAGAGACGGGGTTTCACCATGTTGGTCAGGCTGGTCTTGAATTGCTGATCCGTGATCTGTCTGCCTTGGCCTCCCAAAGTTCTAGGATTACAGGCATGAGCCACCGTGCCTGGCCTGTATTTTTAATAATGAAATCAGAACTAGGTTTGTAAACAGGGAAAGAACAAATAATCATAAAAGTTTTATGTTCTGGATTTGGAAGTTGGTTGATTTAAGAGTAATGAGAATAAATAATATCCCCTCCCCCTTTAGTTCTCAAGGTTTTCCACTTAGTTTAAGTAGTTTTATTAGCTATAGTAGAGTAACTCAGCATTTTGAAATATTTGTATAATTTGAAAAGTCTCTGAAAGAACACTGATTCAGGTATAGCATTGCAAGTTTGAGGGGTTTCAACAGATTTCTTCATGTGTGTTTAATTCCATGATGATTAAAAAAAACCCCAAGAAATAAAACCTCTGGTCACTTAACCAGCATTTTATTTTATTTATTTTTATTTTATTTTATTTTTTTGAGACGGAGTCTTGCTCTGTCGCCCAGGCTGGAGTGCAGTGGCAGGATTTCAGCTCACTGCAGGCTCCGCCTCCTGGGTTCAAGCAATTCTCCTGCCTCAGCCTCCCAAGAAGCTGGGATTACAGGTGCCTGCCACCACACCTGGCTAATTTTTTTTTTTTTTTTTGTATTTTTAGTAGAGATGGGCTTTCGCTTTGTGGTAACCAGGATGGTCTCGATCTCATTACCTCCTGATCCGCCTGCCTCGGCCTCCCAAAATGCTGGGATTACAGGCGTGAGCCCCTGCACCTGGCCCACTTAACCAGCATTTTAACATATTCTGAAAATCTGATTGCCAGAATTTAATGATATTAGAAGAAATTTTTTAAAAAGCTCATAACTATTGCGTAGCAAGTATGTTTTCAAAGAACTTGTTTTAAGGTGGGTCTTGGTGGCTCACACCTCTAATCCCAGCACTTTGGGAGGCTGAGGCAGGTGGATCACTCGAGGTAAGGAATTCAAGACCAGCCTGGACAACATAGTGAGACCCTGTCCCTACAAAAAATACAAAAATTAGCCAGGTGTGATGGCACATTCTTGTGTGATCCCAGCTAATTGGGAGGCTGAGGTGGAAGGATCAGGTTGAGCTCTGGAGGTCAAGACTGCAGTGAGTTGAGATGGCGCCACTGCACTTAAGCCTGGGTAACATTAAGCCTGGGTAACAGAGGGAGACTGTGTCTCAAAAATAAAAAAAAAAAAAAAGAAACCCACCCAGTTTGATGAATTAGATACATGTTAAGTGAAACTATTTTTCAGATAGTGTAGAATTAACTTCATTATGTTCACAATTAAATTCATATTAGACTGTTACCTATTCTAAGATATTTGATATTAACCCTCAAGGGACATTGGCTACATTTTTTTTTTAACAAAACCTTGTAGTTTATGTCAGTGGTCTCCAAACTTTTTGGCACCAGGGACTAGTTTTGTGGAAGACAGTTTTTTCCACAGACCCCGGGAGCAGGGAGGGGATGGTTTTGGGGTGAAACTCTTCCACCTTAGATTATCAGGCATTAGTTAGACTAGTTAGATTCTCATAAGAAACACACAGCTTAGGTCCCTTGCTTGTGCAGTTCACAATAGGGTTTGTGCTTCTATGAGAATCTAATGCCGCTGCTGATCTAGAGGAGGCCGAGCTCAGGTTAATGCTGGCTTGCCTGCCGCTCACCTGCTGTGAGGTCTGGTTCCCAACAGGCTACTGACTGGTATTGGTCTGCAGCTAGAGGTGGGGGGAACCCTGAGTACGATAAACTATCTTCTAGAATAATTTTTTTTAATATATTGAAGCAGTAGTGCCTAGTTTATAAGCAGACATATGTGTAGTATAAACTATATAGTTTATATTCAGAGTACAAAATCCACCGTGGCCACTATTTTTTTTTCCTTTTTTGAGATGGAGTCTCACTCTGTCACCCAGGCTGGAGTGCAGTGGCACAATTTTGGCTCACTGCAACCTCTGCCTCCCTGGATTCAGCGATTTTCATGCCTCAGCCTCCCAAGTGGCTAGGATTACAGGCACACATCACCACACCCAGCTAATTTTTGTATTTTTGGTAGAAATGGGGTTTCACCATATTGGCCAGGCTGGTCTCAAACTCCTGACCTTGTGACCCACCCGCCTCGGCCTCCCAGAGTGCTGGGATTACAGGCGTGAGCCACCCCACCCGGCCACCTTGGCCACTATTACAAAAGTAAAGCTAAATAGTACAGAAGTATATGTTCCATGTTTTGTAAGGACTGTTGATTTGGAAACAGTGTATTCTAACGATAAATTTTAAATGTAACTAATAGTATATGTTTCTGAATAAATATGTTCTACTTCTAATATAAAGTGTCATATTTGTTTTAAAATCATTGCTCAAGTTGTATAGTTGTTTTGGGCACATATTTTCAACTTCTAGACCAATACAAAATGTAAAATATGTAAAAGACATGATATAGTTGTATCCTTTCTAAACACTGACCTATTTTTTTTTCCTTTGCTACCCTTTTTTTTTTCTGAGACAGAGTCTGGCTCTGTTGCCCAGGCTAGAGTGCAGTGGTGCGATCTTGGCTCACTGCAACCTCTGCCTCCTGGGTTCAAGCAATTCTCCTGCCTCAGCCTCCTGAGTAGCTGGGATTACAGGTGCCTGCCACCATGCCTGGCTTATTTTTGTATATTTAGTAGAGCTGAGGTTTCACTATGTTGACCAGGCTGGTCTTGAACTCCAGACCTGTGATCTTCCTGCCTTGGACTCCCACAGTGCTGGGAATACAGGCATGAGCCACTGGACACTGGCCTTAACTACGTATTTTTTACATCTGCAGTGTTTTGGAAAAAGTAGTTCAACTGAAAGAATGAAAAGTTGGGGGCAGAATTTGCTTTTAAAAAAAAAATTAAAAAAAGGGCATTGAAAAAAGTTGCAGTGGTGTTGGGAGGGCCTTGGAACAAGGAGTGAATGGAAGATGAGGGAGTGGAGGGAGGCCATGTATGGACTCTTTCTACAGACCAGGCTGTTGAAGGAGAGAGGGCTAACAGGAAATGAAATGCAGGGGGAAGTTTTTTGAAGATGGGAGAAAGAGGACAACTTTTATATATTTCATTTCATTTGATTCCTTATAAATTTGTAAGGAAGATAGAGCTTGTATTATGTCAGTGAAGTTGAAACTAGAGTACAGAAAAATTAAGATACAGCACCCCCAAAACCGAGAACTTCTGACATAATACACTGTTGGAAATACTTATTTCAGAGTGAAGAAAATATTGGAAGTTAGGCTTGTTAATTGGTCTGCATGGTTCATAATTACTCTTTCTTATTAACTATTTAAGGAACATGAGACCAGGAAGTTAAATACCCAGGTATATGCAGATGTATATCTAGAATTGGTACCAAAGTAAATACAGGCATACCTTGGAGATACTGTAGGTTCCATTATAGACTACCACAATAAAGTGAATATCACCATAAAGCAAGGCACACAAATATTTTGGTTTACCAGTGCATGTAAATATTATGTTTATATTCTACTGCAGTCTATTAAATGTTCAATAGCGTTATATTTAAAAAACCAATGTGCATACTTTAATTTAAAAATACTTTATTGTTAAAAAATGCTACTGATCATCTGAGCTTTCAGTAAATTGTAAGATTTTTTGCTGATAGAGGATGTTGGTGGCTGCTGACTGATCCCAGCAGTGATTGCTGAAGGTTGGGGTGCCTCTGGCAGTTTCTTACAATAAGACAACAATGAAGTTTGCTACATTGATTGCCTCTTTCTTTCATGAAAGATTTCTCTGTAGCACTTGATGCTGTTTGATAGCATTTTTTACCCAAAAGTAGAACTTTTTTTCAAAATTGGAGTCAGCTCAAACCCTGCCACTGCTTTAACAACTAAGGTTATATAGTATTCTAAATCCTTTGTTGTCATTCAATAATTTCACAGCCTTTTCACCAGGAGTAGTTTCCATCTTTAAGAAACCACTTTCTTGGGTCATCTGTAAGGAACAACTCCTAATCTGTGCAAGTTTTATCATGAGATTGCAGCAATTCAGTCACATCTTCAGGCTCCACTTCTAATTCTCTTGCTGTTTCCACTACATCTGCAGTGACTTCCTCCACTTGAGTCTTGAACCTCTCAAAGTCATCCGTGAGAGTTGGAATCAACTTCTTCCAAACACCTGTTCATGTTGATATTTTGACTTCCTCTCATGAATTATGAATGTTCTTAATGACATCTACGGTGGTGAAGCCTTTCCAGAAGGTTTTCAGTTTATTTTGCCCAAATCTACTACAGGAATCACTTTTTTTTTTTGAGATGGAGTCTCGCTTTCTCGGCCTGGCTGGAGTGCAGTGGTGCGATCTTGGTTTACTGCAACCTCTGCCTCCCGGTTCAAGCGATTCTCCTGACTCAGCCCCCCGAGTATCTGGGACTACAGGTGCGTGCCACCACGCCTGGCTAATTTTTGTATTTTTAGTAGAGATGGGGTTTTGCCATGTTGGCCAGGGTGTTCTTGAACTCCCGGCTTCAAGTGATCCTCCTGCCTTGGCGTCCCAGAGTGCTGGGATTACAGGCATGAGCTGCCGTGCCTGGCTGAAATGTATTTCTTAAACAGTAAGACTTAAAAATTGAAATTACTCATTGATGCATGGGCTGCAGGATAGATGTTGTATTGTACTGGCAGGCATGAAAGTAACATTCTTCTTTCTGAACATATCCATCAAAGCCCTCGAATGACCTGGTCCATTGTTAGTGAGTGCTAATATTTTGAAATGAATGTTTTTTCCTTAGCAGTAGGTCTTGACAGCGGACTGAAAATATTCAGTAAGCCAACCTCTAAACAGATGTGCTGTCATCCAGGAGACTGTTGTTCCATATGTAGATAGCAAGCAGATTAAATATAGCATAATTCTTAAGAGCTCTAGGACTTTTTGAGTGGCAAATGAGCATTAGCTTCAACGTCAAGTTACCAGCTGCATTAGTCCCTAACAAGAGAGTCAGTTTTTATTTATTTATTTATTTATTTATTTATTTATTTATTTATTTTTAAAAGAGACAAGAGTCTCACCTTGTTGTCCAGGCTGGCCTTGAACTCCTGGGCTCAAGTGATTCTCTTACCTTGGCCTCTCAAAGTGCTGGAATAACAGGTGTGGCCCCAGCCTGACCTTTGAAGCAAGGCATTGATTTTCCCTCTCTAGCTGTGAAAGTCCTAGATGGCATCTTCTTCTAATGGAAGGCTCTTTTGTCTACTTAAAACACCTTGTTTAGTATAGCCACCTCCAGCAATGATCTTAGATAGATATTCTGGATAACTTGCTACAGCTTCCATGTCAGCACTTGCTGCTTCACTTTCCACTTTTATGTTATGACAAGAGCATTTTTCCTCATGAGCCAACCTCTACTTGCTTCCAGTTTTTCTTCTGCAGTTTTCTCACCTCTCTCAGCCTTCATAGAACTGAAGAAGGTTAGAGCCTTGCTGTGGATTAGGCTTTTTGCTTAAGGGAATGTTGTGGCTGGTTTGATCTTTCATATGGACCACTAAAACTTTCTTCATATTAGCAATAAGATTGTTTCATGTTCACTGACATAGTGCTTTTAATTTTATTCAAGAATTTTTCGTTTACATTCATAATTGGCTGAGTGGTACAAGAGGCCTAGCTTTAGGCCTTTCTCACTTTTTGATATTCCTTCCCCACTAAGATTAATCATTTGTAGCTTTTCAGTTAAAATGAGAGGCACGTGACTTTTCCTTTCCCTGAATTGTTTGGGCATTATATATGACTTCCATTGCACTACAGTGTCAGAGTTGGTTGCTGCAGAGAGCACATATATTTCAAATTGCTGCTCTGCATGCTACGAATCACAATGACATAGTTACTGTTTGTCAGTATGTGTGTGTGTGTGTGCACCACACATATTGCCCTGGCATCTTATTTATTTCTCTCATTACCAGTGCATACTTACCTATCATGTTAAAACAAGAAAAGGAGAAAAGTGGACTTTATATGTAACACTTTAGAAGCATAGTGGAATGTATATTATTATTAACAAATTAGATAGCAAAGCATTATATTTGTTATGCTAGAAGACTATGGCTGTGCTAAAAGAATATAATATATGTCAACATTGCCAGACTGGGCACTTCTCACAATATTCCCAACCAACAGGAATAAAACTAAAAGGTAAGAAAAAAAATAGTAAATTAAAACAAAATTTTATCACAGCAGAATTTCTTCTCAAAAACAAAAAATGGAAATTAGGCTATAATTAAAGTAAGTTTTTTCAATGGCTTATTTGTTAGCCAAGCAAGGAAAACCATTACCAACAGTAGTTAATTAAATTATGTTTAATTACGGTAACCAAAGATGTGTCCATAGAAAATAAACTTTAAAAAAGACTATTAGCCTTTCAGCGAGAGTAATTGCTCTAAAAGTTAAGGACATTGGGAGTAATATCAAGTCATTTTGGAAAGAAAGGTGAATGATTTTTCATGGTTTTCTTAGGCTTTTGATGGATGAATAGGTGTTACCAGTACTGTTCAGTTGTTACATATTCCAGAAGTCAGTGCTGAGTTTGAAGTGATTGAAGAATTAGTGTTTATGCATAGTCTATGTGAAACAACTACAAGAGAAAATATTTTCAGAAAAGTTGAGCAAACACTAACTTAGTACAACCTGAAGTGGAATCCGCTAAGATGTGTTACAGTTGATAGTGGCAAAAATAACTGTGGAGCAGAAAGACTTGAGTTGGACAAATTTACAAAGCTTGTTAAATGTCAGGTGTTTAAAGCCTGATTATTTATTGTATTATTTATTAGCAGGTACTTTGCAGAAAATATTTAAATCTGTCATGTTTTAGTGAACTATTATATAATAGTGTCAGCAGTGATTTTGACTTGCATTTGTGGACTTCATCATCAAATCCTATGAATTTTTGTTAGATATAGAGGCAGAATATACTGAATTGCCATTCTACATAGCAATTTAATGACTTGGCAGTGGTAAAGTTTTATTTCAGTTTTTTGCGCTGAAGAATGAGATTGAAATTTTTCTGAATAATATTGCCCTCAACTGTTAAGTCAAATGCTTAATAGCTTTGAAAGTTGGCTTTTCCTATAGATTTCATAATATTTTATAACAAATTCACCTAAAATTACAAGGCAGAACAGTGATTATAAGTGAACCTTATACTGTGGTAAGGTCACTTCTACAAGAATAATGAATCATGAAAATCAAGAGAAAGAACAAATAGTAAGAAAATGTCTTCCAATTCCTTTTGGCCCTTCATATTTCCACCTAAACTCATAAGCTTTTAAAAAGATAATTATTTTTATTTATACTTAAAAAGATAATATAGGATAATATTTTTGTAAAAGAGTTCTTGAGATACAGCACTGAACGTAAAGGAAAATATTGGAGCATTCAACTACATTTGAGAAATAACTTCTGTTTATTAAAATATACTGTAAGAATGAAAGCACAAGCCCTAATGAATATTCCTGTTTGATACTAAAACAAAGCTTGAGAAGTGGTAGTTTCTCAAGTTTTTCAAGTGGTTTGGTGCAATCTGAAGACTGCAATCCCATCAATGAACTTTATATCTTTACCCTTTAAAATTATAATTTATGGGCTGGGCACAGTGGTTCACGCCTGTAATCCCAGCACTTTGGGAGGCTGAAGTGGGTGGATCACGAGGTCAGGAGCTCAAGACCAGCCTGGCCAAGATTGTGAAACCCCGTCTCTACTAAAAATACAAAAATTAGCCAGGCATTGTAGCAGGCACCTGCAATCCCACCTACAGGGGAGGCTGAGGCAGAGAATCTCTTGAACCCAGGAGGTGGAGGTTGCAGTGAGCCGAGATTGTGTCACTGCACTCCAGCATGGGTAACAGAGTGAGACTTTATCTCAGACAAAAAAAAAAAAAAAAAATATATATATATATATATATATATATATAATTTATTAGACTACCTTGCAATTTCAGGGGATCTTTTACCCATATATGATTTTATAAGATTACTAAGTGGTCTTTGGAAAATATAGGTTCACTGAGTGATCCAGATATTCCAACTATTGATACGGTTGTTTTTGTTTGTTTGTTTTGTTTTGTTTTGTTTGTTTGAGACAGAATCTCACTCTGTTGCCCAGGCTGGAATGCAGTGGTGCGATCTCAGCTCACTTCCGTCTCCTGGGTTCAGGTGATGTTCATGCCTCAGCCTCCTGAGTAGCTGGGACTATAGGCATGCACCACCAGGCCCAGCTAATTTTCATATTTTTAGTAGAGATGGGGTTTCACTATGTTGTCTAGGCTGGTCTTGAACTCCTGACCTCCAGTGATCCCGAAGTGCTGGGATTACAAGTGTGAGCCAGCTTACCTAGTCCTACACATTTTTAGTTAATAACAAAATTCACATTTGTTATAATCGACTGATCTCATCAGAATAGTCTTTAAGTATTGGAATTAGTTAAGCTTACATTGTTGGTTGTAAGTTTTTCAAATCTTCTTATTGTCCACTCATGTTCTAAGTTGTTTTCCTTGAAGTGACAGGCTCACTTTATTCATTTTTGAAGAAATATGTCAGATAATCAAGTTTTAATAATTGTGGTTTCTTAGTTGTTCTTACATGTAAAAACAGTGTTCCATTAAAAAAGCAGTTAGTTTATAAATCACATGATCACAAATTCTTTCCTCAAGAAAAACTGTGGTGTAACAATTATTTTACGCTTCATTTCTCATTTTGTCACATAGATAATTAAAAGATGTGTATTCATGGATCAAGACTTAAAACATTAAAGATTTTTGCTGCTTCATCAGTGATATTCTCAATGATACTCTACATTATTTTTACTGTAGTTGTAGTGCCAGTTGAGAATGTGACAACTTCTAATACAGCTTGGTGCCAGCTGCCTTCAGTTTTGGAAATGCATCAACAGTTTTACCCACCATAGCTTTTGCATCATGTAACAATTTTTGCTTCAATTGTTAAACATTATTTTGGAAACTCAAGGAAGAGTAAAGTCTGTTTTATTGCCCATAGTTTTACTATTTGTTTGTTCTTTCTTCCTTCAGGATGTTCTAAGAATCCTTCTTTTTATCATTCTCCTTTCTGGTTCAATAACTTTTCTCACTATTCTTTTGGTGTAGTTTTGTCTCATGACTAATTTTTAGTTCTCATTCATCTCACAATTTCTTGATTTCCCTTTCATTACTAATGGATGTTTTTGCTGGATATAGAATTCTTTGTTGTCAGTTCTTTTAGGACTTACAAAAATGTTACGCTGCTTTGTTCTGGCCTCCATGGTTTCAGGTGAGAAATCTGCTGTCATTTGAGTTGTTTTTCATCTGTGGATAAGGTGTCATTTCTCTTATTTATCTCAAGGTTTTTAAGTTTAGTCATTAGTTTTCAGAAGTTTATGATATAAATTAGCATTGATTTATTTGTGTGTATCCTCTTAGGATTTATTCAATTTCTTGAATCTGTGGGTCTTCGAATAATTGTTCAGCTGCATCATGTTCTTTTTCTGAGATTCCAGTGACAGGAATGTTGCATCATTTATTATAGTACCACAAGTGTCTTTAATGCCTTTTTTTAAAATATATATATATATTTATTTGTTTATTTATTGTCAGAGTTTTGCTCTTTTGCCCAGGCTGGAGTGAAGTGGTACAATCTCAGCTCACTGCAGCCTCCGCCCCTGGGTCTAAGTGATTCTCCTGCCTCAGCCTCCTGAGTAGCTGGATTTATAGGTGTGTGCCACCATGCCCAGTTAATTTTTGTATTTTTATTAGAGACAGGGTTTTGCCATGTTGGCCAGGCTGGTCTTGAACTCCTCACCTGAGGTGATCCACCCATCTCGGCCTCCCAAAGTGCTAGGATTACAGGCCTGAGCAACCGCACCTGGCCACTTTTTTTTTTTAATCAGTTCATTTTCTTCTCTAGGTTGGGTAATCTCCCCCATTTTGTTGTTCAGCTTAGTTTGTATTTTATTATTGCTAGAATATTTTTTAATTTTCAACTTGGTATTTGTTTCTTTCTTGATTTCTTTGCGAAACTTTGTATTGTTTCCTTTGTTTCAAAATTATGTTTGTTATTGCTTTTTTTTTTTTTTTTTTTTGAGGCAGACTCTTGCTCTGTTGCCCAGGTTGGAATGCAGTAGAATGATCTCAGCTCACTGCAACCTCTGCTTCTTGGGTTCAAGTGATTCTCATGCCTCAGCCTCCCGAGTAGCTGGAATCACAGGCGTGAACCACCGTGCCTGGGTAATTTTTGTATTTTTAGTACAGATGGGGTTTCACGATGTTGGCCAGGCTGGTCTCGAACTCCTGACCTCAAGTGATCCAACCACCTCTGCCTCCCAAAGTGCTGGGATTACAGGCCTGAGCTACTGTGTCAGGCTGTAATTGCTTGTTGAAGCAGTTTTATAATATATAGTTTAAAATCTTTGATAGATAATTATGACATCTATGAATTCTCATTGTTTGCACCTTTTGACTATATTTTCAAATTCCTGTTCAGATTTTCCTGGTTCTTAGTATGGTATGACATGTTATATTTGGTTGAATCCTTTGCATTTTAAGTGTTGTGTTATGAAGCTCTGCATTTTATTTAAATCCCCCCTTTTAGTAGGATTTATCTGAAACTTTGCTTTTGGGGTGGAGGTGGGGCATAGCCTTGTTACTACTTCCAGGTGTATGTGAAGATTCCAGTTTCATAGTAGGCCTTTGTTGACTCATTGATGGAGACGTACACCTAGTAAATGCTGAGTAGGAATGAAAACTCTGGACTTGCATTATACCTTTGTGAATACCACCCTGGCTCAAAAGGTTCCTGCTTTTCACTTGGCCTCCACTGACACTGGGATGGAGGGGTGGTTAAGTTATCACTGAGCATTGCTTTGAGTTTGGATTCTCCAGTAGGCCTCTGCTGTCATATCTCTGTAGAGGGAGGGATAGGGATATGTCCTTATCATTGGGTGGGTGTTGAACTCAGGCTCCCCACTTTTTTTCCACTCACACTCTAGAGGGAGGAAGCTGCATTACTGCTCAGTGGGTATGAGTGTCCTGTGTCCCCACTTGGCCTGCTGTGGTATCATGTTGTCTGTGGGTAGGAGTGGGGAATGGCTGACTATGTCCTCCTTTTAAGTCTTTGCAAAAGGTATATGGCTTGGGGTTTTATTTGTACCCTTTGGCTTAAACTGGTTGGTTGTTGTCTGTGAGTTTTTTTTTTCTTGGTAGCCTGCTGCTTCCCTGCTTTTTTGACAAGAGACAGCAGAATTTTCTTGGAGTTTTACGTATGTGTGTGCCTGTTGGTGTTTCTGAGTTGTCTGCTTCTCTAGCAACTTTTCTTGTATATATGAGTCAGAAAGGAAACCTAGGGAATTCATCCTCTTGTGTTTCTTGGCACCTGAAGCCCTAATTGGTCTGCCCTCTCTCTACATTTTGTTGTCTTCCTTTGTTTGTCTTATGTATCACGGCCAAGGGTTTTTAAAGCTGTATTTAGTGGAAAGAACAGGGAAAAGTACATTTTCTGCATTTTGTCTGGAAGTGGAAGTCTGCATGCATTTTTGCCTTTTTTTCCGTGAATATAGAGTTCTGGGATGATTATGTTTTTCTTCTTCAAGCATTTAAAAGATGTTGCATTGTTTCCTGTCTTCCATGGTTTCTAATGAGAAGTCAGGTGTGGTGTCAGTAGTATCATTATTCCCATGTATATAGTAATGTTTTGATATTCTCTGGCTGCTTTCAGGATTTTCTCTTTATATTTGGTTTTCAGCAGTCTGACTATGATGTGCCTAGGTGTGGTTTTCTTTGTATTCATCCTGCTTGGGGGTTGCTGAGCTTCTTGAAAGTGTAAGTTGATATTTTTCACCAAATTTGTGAAAAGCTTGACTTTTATTTCTTATTCTTTTTCTGTCTCATTTCTCTCTCCTCTTCCTCTGTAACTCTAATTACATGAATGTTAGTATATTTGATATTTTGTAGGTTACTGAGGGTCTGTTCGTCTTCTTCCCAGTGTTTTTACTTTTAGTTCCTCAGAATAGATACACTATTCATGTATTTTCAAGGAGATGGACCAATTTTCTACCAATCTCTTGTTAAGCCCATCCACTAAAATTTTCTTTGAAAGTACTATACTTATTAGTTGTAGAATTTTCTTTTCTTTTCTTTTGAGACAGGGTCTCTGTCGCCCAGGCTGGAGTGCAATGGCGCGATCTCGGCTCACAACCACCTCCACCTCCCAGGTTCAAGCGATTCTCGTGCCTCAGCCTCTCAAGTAGCCGGGACTATAAGGTGCCCACCACCACACCCAGCTAATTTTTGTATTTTTAGTAGAGGTGGGGTTTCGCCATGTTGGCTAGACTGCTCTCAAAATCCTGGCTTTAGGTGGTCCACCTTCCTCGGCCTTCCAGGGTGCTGGGATTACAGGCAGGAGCCATCGCGCCCAGACTGAAACTCTATTTAAATATAGATTTTAGCCAATGATATTCCGCTTTTTTTCCAAGGGTAAAATGTCCTCCCATTCCAGCCAGTTTTTGGTTATTTACAGGTAACTTCAATTAGTTAGCTTTTCCATTTTCTTCAGATTTGAGACATTTTAGGAGAGTTATTCTGATATTAGTCCCTGTGCTGTTACCCAATAAATAAATAAATTTATGTGTGAGAGTCATTGTTTTGTTAAGGTATATTTTGCATACACTATAATTCACCCTTTCTAAGGTGTGTATTGAATGTGATTTGGTAAATATGAACAGTCATGTAATTACCATCATAGTCAAGATACAGAATAGACCCTTTACGCATAAATTCACTCATGACCTTTTGAAGTTACTGCCTACCTCCCAAATCCAGCTCTTGGCAATCACCTATCTGTTGCTTTCCTATAGTTTTGCCTTTTCTAGACTAATATATGAATGGAACCATACAGTATAGAATCTTTTCTGTCTGCCTTTTTTTTTGGCTTAGCATAATCGTTTTGAGATTGGCCCATTCACTAGCTTACAGTTAAGTTTCGTTCAATTTTTGTCCAGTATATAAAGCTGCTGTGAGCATTTATGTAACATGCTTCGTTGTAGATGTATCTTTTCATGTTTCTTGGGTAAATACCTAGGACTGGAATTTCTGACTTGTTGGAAATAATATTCTTAACTTTGGAAAACAGTTTCACAGTTTCTTAAAAAGTGTCTGTATACTTTTCCATTTCTAGAGATCTGAGAGTTCCATTTGCTGTACATTGTTGCCAGCACTAGATATTGCCACTGTTTCTAAATTTTAGCCATCTGGTTGGCATTTAGTGACAATTTATTGTGGGTTTGATTTTGCATTCTCTGATGATTAATTAGATTGAGCCTCTTTTTATGTCTTTTTTTGCCATTTGTGTATCTTTGGTGACATGTCTGTTAAAGTATTTTGTCTCTACCACCATTTTTTTCCAATTGATTTGCTAGTCATCTTCTTGAGTTGTAAGTTTTTTTATATATTATTCACAGAAGTCAGTTATTGGAGATGCATTTTATAAATATTTTTGCCTAATGTGTGACTTGTTTTCATTTATTTAGCAATGTTTATTGAACAGCAGAGGGTTTCATTTTGATGACATCTGTCATTTGTTAATTTTTTGGAAGTTGAAAAAAATATGCTCTTTATGCTTTATTAAAAAATCTTTGCTTGCCGCAGTGTTACTTGTAGGTTTAAAAAATCCATTTATGGTTAAATTACACATATGATAAGAGAATACAAGATAAGATTCATGTTTCTTTGTTTTCCATATGAATTATTTGGCAGTTCCAGCATCATTCTAAAAGATTATTTATTGCTCTCTTGAATTATCTTGGCCCCTTGCTCAAAAATTAATTGAATATGGGAAAGTTTGCCTATTTCTGTATTTTCTGTTCTTCTGACTTATTTTTCTCTCCTTTTACCAAAACCAAACATAAAAAAGATTTTTTTTTTCAAAATCATGAGTTGATATTTATGTTTTCAGTTTAATTCAATAGCACAATTACATATCTTTAAAACAATTTTATACCTGTAGCTAAGCTATAGTTGTATATTTTCTTTTAATATCATCTTTCCTATAACTGAAAAAGTCATTAAAAGAAGAAAAGATTATTGTTTTTGTTTCAATTTCAAAGTAATCAAAACTAAGTGTACTAGTATTAAATAGTTAAAGCTAGTAGATCAATAATGAAATTTAATGTTATTGCTTTTTGCTATCTTTTTTGAGTTTACTAGTGATGTAAAAGATTTATTTGCTGTGATTATGTAAATACTCTTTTGATGCATAATTCAGCTGTTAACATCATGTTAATTTGTGGCATTAATAATTTTACTGATAGCCCTTCTGTGATTCTGATTTTTGGTAGTGGTTTTTACCTGGTAAGTAGCATTTTGTCAGCTGGCAGGTACTGGAAATCTGCTTTATCACTTCTTTTTTAAGAAAAGTGGAAAACACAAACAGTTTGTTCACCAAAGTTATATTTCAAGGATTCCATTCAACCAGAATCTGGTTCACCTTATTGACTCAACTTGGGGGTATATGTACTAGATTTTTACATATATCTGTTTGGAGAAACTCGTGTTATCTGTGTAATGTTTGTAAGACCAGAAGTTCTTTTACTGTTCTTGAAATAAAGCTTTTAAGAAGCTGAGTATTCTTCTGTTAGTTTCAAATTTGGACTAAAATTACACCAAGGTTTTGGACTAAAGAGAAAGCAAATAATCTGTTCTTATGTTCTTAAAAGACATGATTTAAGTGTATCCAACTAGATTCTTAGTGTGTCTGTGTTTACTCCTACTCAAATGAAAGCTTTTAAATTTTTTCCCACTTTTTGAAGTGTTTAACTCTTCTGTAATATGCAGTGTTTTCTTATTAACTTTAAAGTTGTGCTAAGCAAACGTGTTTAAATTAATATTTCAATTTCAAAAACCCTAATTTGAAACAATAAATTTTATCATTGTAAACATTATGAGCTTTTAAGAATAACCAAAAAAATGGGGGTGGATGTTTTATGTGGAAGTTATGTGTATCCCTTTTCTGCTTTTGGCTAAGGACAGATATCTTAGAATTAGCTTTATGGTGCATTCATCTATCTGATTATTTCAGTTAATATCATCTTAATATAATACAGGTTACTTGAGAAGAAAAACTCTTAACCCAGTATTGGAGAGATGCCAGGTAGGATACTAACATTGATAGAGGATTTCATGTGAGAAAGAAAAAGGAAAATATTTTCCATTAAAAGTTGAGTTTTTATCTAAAATTCTCTTAATTTTCTAAAAAAACTTAATTTTTCTAAAAATATGTTGAAGAATTATATATAAAATTCACTTTGCTATATATATAGAGCAAGTGAATAATAGGTACACATTTCTAGGAATACCCAAAATATTAGAACCTATATACTAAAATCACATCAGGAAACAAATAATAGCGCCCCAGACATTCCATTCAAGCCTCCTGTTGGTTACTATTCCTAACTCCCCAGAGACATGCACTATCATCTAGTAACAACATAAGTGAGTCTTGCCTATGTTTGTACTTTGCGTAATTGGCTTTGTACTTCGTATAATTGAGCTACTAAGTACTGTTTTCTGTCATCTTTCACGTATATATTTGTGAGATAAATCCAAATTGTTCCTTCCAGTCGTTTATTTTTCTCATCGATATATAGTATTCTGTTGTTAAGAGTACTATAATTTATTTATTTTACCGTTGGGCATTTTGAGGGCTTTCAATTTGAGGTCATTATGAATTGTGTTCTGTGAACATTGCAGTACATTTCTTTTGGTTGACACTGAGAGTATTTTATGGATTCTAACCCCAAAGTGGCTACTTTCTTTTCTTACTTTCTTTTTTATTTTTTATTTTTTTGAGACAAAGTCCAGCTCTGTCACCCAGGCTGGAGTGCAGTGGTGCAATCTTGGCTCACTGCAACCTCCACCTCCCGGGTTCAAGCGATTCTCCTGCCTCAGCCTCTCGAGTAGCTAGGATTACAGGCGTGCACCACCACGCCTGGCTAATTTTTGTATATTTTGGTAGAAATGGGGTTTCGCCATGTTGGTCAGGTTGGTCTCCAACTCCTGGTCTCAAGTGATCCACCTGCCTTGGCCTCCCAAAGTGCTGGGATTACATGCACGAGCCACCGTGCCTGGTTATATGTTATTTTCTTACAACCTAAATAAAAACCATTATGTAAACAAGACAAAATACTCAGTACATTTCCATAGTCGATGAATTTGTCTTTATTACTTGTATATAAATAATTATGAACTCCTTGAGTTCAGTTCCTTTTTCATTTCCTGACCCTATGGACTTGAACAAGGAAATTTAACCTCTCTGCTTCATTTGTAAAATGAAAAATAGTGATATCTACCTAAAGTGGTGGTGGTTAGATGGGAATAAAGTAATTTCTTTGTTTTTGTTTTTGAGATGGAGTCTCACTGTTGCCCAGGCTGGACTGCAGTGGCACGATCTCAGCTCACTGCAACCTCTACCTCCTGGGTTCAACTGATTCTCCTGCCTCAGCCTTCCAAGTAGCTGGGATTAAAGGCGCCTGCCACCAGGCCCAGCTAATTTTTGTATTTTTAATAGAAACGTGGTCTCGCCATGTTGGCCAGGGTGGTCTAAAACTCCTGACCTCAGGTGATCCACCCACCTCTGCCTTCCAAAGTGTTGGGATTACATGCGTGAGCCACTGTGCCTGGCATAGATGGGAATAAAGTAATTCTTATAAAGTACTTGGCTTAGCTGCTGGCAAATAATAATGCTTACTGATTCTTGCATATTACCCATAGTTTATTGGCTAACTTTATGTCTTCCTTAAATTATGAAATTCTATAAAGTATCCTTGTCTATTTTAAAATTATACTCATTTTTATAACTTACATGCTTTATTTGTATATATCCAGGATACTAGATATTTGTAATCCAAATTGGAGGTTATTTTTTGTCATTTGATTTTTTTTTCTGTAATGTGTGTTCTCACCACATAGAAGTTTTTACATTTTTATGTAGTCAGATTTATTCATGTTTTTATTTATGGTTATGTTAAAGATTATAGCTATTAGAGACCTATTTCTTCAGGGTTTATAATTTATGTATGTTGTTACAAATAGAGAAATTACTTTTTCTTTGACCCAATAGGTAGAGGGCACTTTTGTGGACTCAGAAAGCTTGCCTCTCCTATTTTATTTTAGGAAAATTTCTGAGATTCTGCCTCCTCATTTCCAAGCCAGAGTTTAAAATATTTACATTTTTACTTCATAGTGTTAAGACATTGTGTAATGTAAGTATAATGTGTAAAAAAAAATCTTAAAAATCTAATAGTGATTTGGCAGAGACCAAAGCATGGAGGGCCTTGAAATGCTGCTGCTCTATTTGTTATCTATTATTATAAAGCAATTACCATAAACTTAATAACTTAAAACAGCACCCATTTACTTAGGTCAGAACTCAGGGCAGGCTCAACTGTGCTCTCTGTTTAAGGTCTCACAAGATTCAAATCAAGGTGTTACCTGGGTGGAGGCTCCGGGGGTGAATCCTCTTCTGGTGCATTCAGGTGTGGGAGGAATTCAGTTCTATGCAGTTGTAGGGCTGAGCTCGCCATTTTCTTTTTCTTTCTTTTTTTTTTTTTTTTTGAGACAGAGTCTTGCTCTGTCGCACAGGCTGGAGTGCAGTGGTGCAGTCTCGGCTCACTGCAACCTCTGCCTCCTGGGTTCAAGTGATTCTCGTGCCTCAGCCTCCCAAGTGGCTGGGATTACAGGTGTGCGCCACCATGTTGGCTAATTTTTTTTTTGTATTTTTAGTAGAAACGGGGTTTTACCATGTTAGCCAGGATGGTCTCGATCTCATGACCTCGTGATCCTCCTGCCTTGGCCTCCCAAAGTGCTGGGATTACAGGCATGAGCCACCACACCCTGCTGAGCTCACCATTTTCTTACTGCCTATTGGCTTGGGTCACTCTCAGTTCCTAGAGGCCACTCTTTGGTTTTTGCTCCTGGCTCTTTTTATCTTCAAATATAGCAACAGTGTATTGAAATGTTCCCTTGCTATGAATTTCCCTTTTGCTACTAGCTGGAGAAAACTCCGCTTTCAAAGAGGTTATTTGATTAGATTAGGCAAATCTCTCTTTTGATTAATTCAAAGGCAATTGATTGGTGGCTTTAATCACATCTGCAGAATTCCTTTGCCATATAATATATTAATGGCATTATCCTTGCCATGATATTTCATCATATTTACAGCCTCTGTATTAGGGTAGGAAATTTGGTGGGTTGGTGGTATGCGGGCATTTTAGAATACTGCCTACCACACATTCTGTATTGAGGGGTTTGTGTGTGATTCAGAATATATTTGTATTCCTTTAGAAAGATTGCTGTGGCAGCAGGGAGGAGGATGTGGCAGAAAGGAAAGATACTGGCAGGAGAAAAATCCCACTCTTAGCAGTCTCCATTTTGATTTTGTAATGTCGTTTGATGTTATTTTTTTAGCAGATGTTTCAATCAGAAATGTGTGTTTAATAGTATGCCAACTAGAATGCTTAGCCTGGACCAGAACAAGAGTCATGAGTCAGTCATTGAACTGTTCATTACTTCAGGTCAATTCATATACAGAATAATTTCATAGATTAGGTTTTATTTCAGTCAGCTTTATTTCAGTTTCTAAAGCAAACAGTTGTTTAAACCTCGGATCTCATTAACAGCATTTTAATAAACACAGTATTAGGGTGGGTTTACTTACCTAGATTGCGAATCTCATGGATTATATATTGATTCTTATAGGCTTAATTTTTGAATCGGGCATTATTTATTGTAATTCTTTAGTCTTACGTTTTGCATGTTTGAAGCTATATTTTTTCCTCTGAATACCACATTTGCCATGTCTGAGAGATTTTTTTGATGTTTCTTAATCATTTAAAAATAATACATGATTCTTCTTCTTGATTGAAACTCTGCCATTATATAGAAAGGACTTTTAAATTTTGCCAGTGGATAGATTTGGGAGTTTATCCTTATATTGTGAATTTCTAATTTTTATTGTATTAGGTCTAGGGACGCATCTGCTTTTACTGGATATAACCTAGGAAATAACTGCTTTTTAAAATATGTGGACATTTCCTTATGACCATACATGTGAATTTTTTTTTGAAAATTCTATGTACATTTGAATAGAATGTTTTCTCTATTTTTGGAATTCAGAGATCTGTGTGTATTTTATGTGTCTGTTTGAATCAAACCCGATCATTGCTATTATTTATTTCATATCTACTTAATATCCTGTTTTGAGAGCTATGTTAAAGTCTAATCTATGCATGTTATTTCTACTCAGCTTTACTTTCTATGTGTGACATATACTTATTAGTTGTATAAACTTTAATGACTATGGCTTCTTTTGGAATTTACACTGTAACATAAAACTTATGTTATTATGAATTATTATCTTTGACTTGTTCACTGCTTTTTAGTTTAAATTCTGTTTCTTTGCAATTATTGCTATACCTGCATTTTTTGGATAGCGTTTGTGTTTTGTCCCCTCATGTCTGTTTTTGAATTGTGTATGTCACTGTGCATTGTGCATATGTATGAATATATATATATATATATATATATATATATATATATATATAGCCGTTCCTGTGTTGCTGTAAAGAAATACCTGTCGCTGGGTAATTGATAACAAAAAGAGGTTTAATTAGCTCACGATTCTGCAGACAGTACAGGAAGTGTGGTGCCGGCATCTGCTTCTGGTGAGGGCTTCAAGAAGTTTGAAATCATTTAGCCGGGTGCGGTGGCAGGTGCCTGTAATCCCAGCTACTCAGGAGACTGAGGCAGGAGAATCGCTTGAACCTGGGGGGTGGAGGTTGCAGTGAGCCGAGATCAGGCCATTGCACTCCAGCCTGGGCAACAGAGTGAAACTCTGTCTCAAAAATAATGATAATAATAATAAATAATAAATTTTTAAAAAAAGTTTGAAATAATGGTGGAAGGAGAAAGGGGAGCAGGCATCTCACATAGCAAGAACAGGAGCAAAGGAGATGGGTGGAGATGCCATACACTTTTGAACAACCAGATCTTGTGAGAACTCACTCGTTATCGCAAGGACAGCACCAAGCCATGAGGGATTTGCCCCCATGACCCAAACACCTCCCATAAGGCCCCACCTCCAACATCGGGGATTACATTTCAACATGAAATTTTGGCGGGGACAAATATCCAAAGTATTTCATTCATTTTATATTATATATGTGTACACACACACACATACATAAATGAAGTCTGTAGTATAGTTACAGGTAAAATATGTGTATGTGTTAAGTAGTATATTTTGCATATTTTGAAAGTTGCTGTCTTTTACTAGAGAATTTAACCTATTTGCATTTGCTATCCATGGACTTGAATGTTAGCTTAACAGACATTAAAATTTTGGTTTTAAATAATTTTTTATAGACTTAGGAAAATAATGATTTTTTGGGGGTTTCTTTTTAATTCAGTATTGGTAATGAGAACTGATGCCCGATTCTTCTTTTTTTGTAATGATTTGTTTTCTTTTTTATGTGGCTCCAAGAATTTTCCTTTTATCCTTGTTATTTCAAACTTTCTGGGAAGCTTTTACCTGAAGCTGCCATTCAGGGATTTTAAGGAGGCATTGTTACAGATCAAGAGTGAGTATTTTTGTAGGGATATAGAGATAAGTGGAACAGTGATAATGACTCTTTGGGTTTTAGGTTCCTCATCTGTTGAATGAGGATTATGCTTAATTAAATGTTAGCTTTTATTATTAGATATATACATAACTTTTCCTTTAGAATTTTGGTGATTATAATCCCTTCTATTTTCTCCCCTTCTGGTACTCATATAAAACAGACGTTGCACCTTCTGGATCAGATTTTCATGTCATTCTGCCTCTTTCTCTTGCTTTCCATCTTTGTTCTTTATTACTGCATCCTGGGAGAATCCTAGTTGCCTAACACTAAAAACAGATTGGTGAAGATTAAAAACAAATTTGGAGCATGGGGAGCCTTACAATACTTATTTATTAGAGCACGTAGCCTAAAACCATTGCTGTAGTTGGTACAGAATAAATACTGGATAATTAATTAAATGAACTGTGGAATATTTAACTTCTTGGTATTTTTTTATGATACAACTTTAATCTCAGAAATTTTGTTCATTCTGTTTTTTATAGATACATTTTGACAGATTATTTCAATCTATTAAATAAAAGTTTTGAAAATTCCTCAGACTCATTCTTAAAATTGGTAATATGAGTTCTCAACTGAGTTTTTGTTGTTGTTATTGTGTTCTTGGATTAATATGGGAAAATATTATTATAACATGTTGCTTTTTTCCTTTTCTTACTCCCTGTCTTTTCAATGATGAATAAAAGTAAAAAGAAAAAATGCCGTCTAGGAATTTTCATTATTGATTCAAATAAACCATTTAGTTGATAAACCATTTAAGGGCTTTTTTTTTTTAATTTTTATAGACAGGTTCTCACTTTTGTTGCCCAGGCTAGAGTGCAGTAGCGTGATCACAGCTCACTGCAGCCTCAACCTCCTGGGCTCAAGCAATTTTCCCACCCCAGGCTCATGAGTAGCTGGGACTATAGGTGCATGCCACCATGCCTACCTAATTATTGCATTTTTTGTAGAGATGGAGTTTCACCATGTTGCCCAAGCTGGTTTCGAACTCCTGAGCTCAAATGATCCACCTGCCTCAGCCTCCAAAAGTGCTGGGGTTAAAAGCGTGAGCCACCATGCCCGGCCAAGAGCTGTTTACTTTATCCCTCCTCCCCAAATGTTAATTTGCTTTGTAATTGTTACTTATGTATTATATATTACTTATTATATTATTAATATTTTAACTTGCTTGATTTCTTTTATGTGTAGTGTATAAGAGTGTTGACATTTGAGAAGTTCCCTGTAGAAATCTATTCTTTGATATTGTCTATGATTTTACAAGTACTTTTTATTTGGTTTAGGAAGATACATTCCAGACTGTGTATATATAGTAAACAATTTCTTTTAATGCCGAGTGCTCTTCATTAGCTATTTAATTGTAACATATGGGTTTGAAGCGTTCCCCTAAATGTAGTGTTTTATTTTCCTTCTTTTATTCACTGATATCTTTATATGATATTGTAAATTAGTATGTTAGATATATTCCAGTACTTTTCATAATAGTTTAGCTAATATAATATTTTTCATTGCAGATATGATTAAGAGAACATATTGGTGTTTCTAAAATGACAAAGACATTGAGAAGCTGGTCAATTTAAATTATTTTCTGTTATTATATACTTACCTCTCATTATATTTTATCTGCCAAGATTATTTTTAGTGCAAAAGGCTTCTGCAAAACTTGCCATATGGTATCAAAATAAGCGATTTTAGATTTTAACAATTTAGCAGAAATTAGTTATGTTAATGAGTTGTTATAAACATTTTTCAACAGATTGATTGTACTTTTTCTTTCGACATTTACGTGACCTTTCTGTTTGGACATTTAGACTACCAAGGTGTATTTGCAGTTAATTCTGGGTTCTGTTAATGCACTAAACATATTTAGATACCTTGGGCATTACAATATAAAAAATTACCTGTTTTGTAAAAGCTGGTTATTACACTTTATCAATGAAGACAAATATTTATTTTTTTCTGTGTTTCTAATGCATTAATACCCTTGAGTGCCAAAATAGCACTGAAATGTTATTCTGTATACTTATAAATATTATATAAAATTAAAGTGTCACAACAGTAATTAGTGTTTATGAGTTATTTAGAAGCTTCTCCTGCTTCAGCCTCCTGAGTAGCTGGGACTACAGGTGCCCGCCACCACATCCGGCTAATTTTTTGTATTTTCAGTAGAGATGGAGTTTCACTGTGTCAGCCAGGATGGTCTCGATCTCCTGACCTCGTGATCCGCCCGCCTTGGCCTTCCAAAGTGCCGGGATTACAGGTGTGAGCCACCGGGCCGGCCAGAGTTTTGTATCTCTTTCTTTTCTTCTTTCTGATTCAGCCCTCAGAAGTCATTTAGATTTGTTATGTTGATTCAATGCAGTAGACTGATGACAGTGAGGAAGAGTTTGATAGTATGTGAGATACAGATTTACACATAAAACATTGAAAACAATTATAATTTTAACTACTGTAGTCCCTGGTTAATTAGCAGAATATAAAGTCAGTGTAGTAACATGTGAAGATATCCACAGTAATGTTAGCAGGGTCCAACTGTCTCTGCTATGTGAGGCTCCAGTTATCTCAGCTAAGCTGTTTATGAGCCACACTCACAAACAAGATCACCAAAAGTTAAGTCTTTTTGGTATATGTATAGGAACACCTATCTATTAGGGCCTGTTTGAAGCAGCATTTTTGGTGCTTTGGATACAAAGATAGTATGGTGACTCAACTGAAGGATCTTGGATTAGGATGAGAAAAAGGTAAACTGATCATGTAATGGCATAAGCAAGTAGGTACCATGTAACGGTGTAAACAAAAATTTATGTTAGATAGTCATTTCCCAAAGAGAGATTTCATACTGTATAGTACAGGGCCCATCAGACTCTCTTCAAAGAAAATGATGCTCAAAATGGACTTGGGAGAATGAGGAAGAGTTTGTGAATCATTCTAAGGGAAAACTGAATAAGTAAATGCAACATTTTACATAATTTCTTCTGACTTCTTATGTGTTCACTTGCCCTAGACTGCCCCTCTTGTTTGGGGCTTATTTCTGTGCGTTTTACCACTTGCAAGATAATGGAGGCAGGTTGAAATGGGAAAGATACCAGATGACTAATTTTTTCCCCCACATTTCTATCTTTTGTTAAGAAATTTGAAGTTGATTGCTACATTGAAGTATGTAGTTTTGTTTTTTTTTGTGAGTCTTTAACCATTTGTGTCCCTGTTAACTTATAATTGATGAGTTTATTTTGTATTTATTTTTAGGCAGGGTAAAATAGTAATATGCCTCATAAATAATATATGTTCCTATTACTAGTTTTGGTAGGATTTAAAAACTTTATAATAATCCTCAATATAGAAACCTGCCCCTTTAACCATATTAGCATTTGCTTTTAAAAAAAAATCTTTAGGTTTTGTTTCTAAAATGGTTCACAATTTATTTTTGAAAATATAAGGAATGAAATTCTAACTTTCTAATTTGAATGGAAGGATGAGTTGGTAGCACACGAAGCACTAAATTGAGTAATGTAGATTTTATTATTTTTAACGAATCCTTTGTTTAATATTTTGCAGGTTCAATTTGTTTACTTGTGATGTACAGAGAGTTTTTTATACCTTCCCAGTTTATATTTGAATATTCCTTTTCAAGGTTTTATAAAGAGATTTCTCTCCTTTACCCCTTTCAGCGATGTGCATTTTGTAAGCACTTTGGAGCCACTATCAAATGCTGTGAAGAGAAATGTACCCAGATGTATCATTATTCTTGTGCTGCAGGAGCCGGCTCCTTTCAGGATTTCAGTCACATCTTCCTGCTTTGTCCAGAACACATTGACCAAGCTCCTGAAAGATGTAAGTTTACTACGCATAGACTTTTAAACTTCAACCAATGTATTTACTGAAAATAACAAATGTTGTAAATTCCCTGAGTGTTATTCTACTTGTATTAAAAGGTAATAATACATAATCATTAAAATCTGAGGGATCGTTGCCAGAGATTGTTGGGGAGGGAAATGTTATCAACAGTTTCATTGAAATTAAATCCAAAAAGTTATTTCCTCAGAAAAATCAAATAAAGTTTGCATGTTTTTTATTCTTAAAACATTTTAAAAACCACTGTAGAAAGATGTAAATAGGGACTGTGCAGTATTTCTGACATATACTATAAAATTATTAAAAAGTCAATCAGTATTCAACATCTTTTACACTAAAAAGCCATCCAGTTGAAGAATTAGAAGACAGTTCACTCAGGTGTTATTTCAGGATTTACGTTAATAGGATCACCAAACACTTCTGAAATTCTTGGAAATTTTGTATCCCTGATAGGTGTGATAGAAATCTCTGCTAGCACCTTTTCATGATTCATCTATCTTAGTCATCTGTAATCTGCAGTTGTGCTGTTTTTCTTTCTTTTCCAAATAGTATTTTATAATTCAATGAAAATGTTTAAATGCTTGAAATTTACATTATACAGGAAATCATAACTCTACTATTGTATCATTAAATAGAGATCTCTCGTTTTTCTTACTATGTGTTTTCCCAATTTGGCATCTTTTTTCTCCTAGTCTATTGAATTTCCAATCTTATTATGGAACCTCCATGATATTTTATTCAGTCTTTTTTATGTCACCTCTTAGTTACCTAATGTTAGCTTTTACCTGTTCCTTAGCAATGTTGATAAAAGCTTTTTTTTCTATGTTCTCCAGGTCTGTGAAACATAAGTATAGCTACCCCAGGCTTAAACTAATCTCAAATATGGTTAGTGTACATGATCATTACCCTTTATCTTTGTTGAGTACCCTAATTTCATTTTCCATTAAAATTATTTTGTGTCCACATATGTAATCATATCACCCTTAGTAACCTAGTGTACAGACAAATTATAGGTAAGGCAAACTAAAATTTTAAATTATATTTAAGCTAATAAGGGATTTAAAGTTTTAAAATGCTTTAGATTGTACACTCTTCAATCTGGAAGAGAAGAACTTTCATGCACGGCAACTGTTGTGGTTACTATTTATGTACTGAGTTACTTCAGCAAGTGCACACACTGGCAGTTATCAGAGTGGATTATATTCTGAGTGGCATAATAAATATACTTTGTCATCTCAATAAAACAATTTTATGTGTATGTAAGAATCTGAATTTTATTCAGCCTTTTGTGTAGTCATACTTTAGACCTCAGTAAACAACATGCAAACTTGTATAAGAATGTTGCTCTGATGTTAGAACATTTTTTTACTCAATGGCAGTGCTACTTTCTACTGAAAACTGTGTTCGAATAGTGTATGCCTTCAGTTACATGTTAGCAATCATAAATCAGTTTGTAAAATAATAAACTAAATACTGAGGTGAGATAATTTGCTGTTGTTGATCATGTATATAATGAAAGGTTTATAGCAACATAAAGCTAAAAGATATACTAAAATTATGAGTACTCTGCCTTTTTCCAAAATAGACTTATGGAGACTCATAAAAATACATGAGCAATAGGATAAAACTAAAAATAAGTAAGGAAATTTGGCAATGGAAAATTTAGATAGGATAAATATGAAGATAATAGAGAGACCCCCAAAAAATATGTAATTCCAGACAAACCACAAATTTGGCCCCGTACCTTTTCAACAGTCAATACAAAGAAGGACATATGAGCCCTTAATCTGATTCTTACTATTTATAACATCACTTGATATAATGATATAATAATAAGACATCCCTTGATAGAATGCAATGAAAAATTGTCTTAAAGTAGCCACCTTGCAGTAGAAAAATACCAGTTTCATAGGGCTGTTTCTTATAGCAGCCTTCAAACTAAGTCAGTGGTATAAAATCAAGGCCTAAATGACTAAATTAGATTTCTTTGGTTTTTTTTTTTTTTTTTTGAGATGGAGTCTCGCTCTGTCACCCTGGCTGGAATGCAGTGGCATGGCCTTGGCTCACTGCAAACTCCGCTTTCTGGGTTCAGGTGATTTCTCCTGCCTCAGCCTCCCAAGTAGGTGGGATTACAGGCGCACACCATAACACCCGGTTAATTTTTTGTATTTTTAGTAGAGACGGGGTTTCACTATGTTGGCTAGATTTGTCTCCGACTCCTGACCTCGTGGTCTGCCCGTCTCAGCCTCCCAAACTGCTGGGATACAGAGGTGTGAGCCATCGTGCCCGGCCTCCTTGGGGATCTTAAACAGTGCATTCTAACTACACAGCGTTCTGACCCATCTGTTAAGAAGATCATAATCTTGGATTAAGTTCCAAGGATATAATTTAAAGAATATTGCAGATAGGATGTTTTGTCACCTTTTTAACACCTTTTATAAATATTTCTTCCTATCCTAATTGTGTGTCATGGCAGAAGTTACTTTTTATGCTTTTAAAATGATACTGTCTTAAATCATAGTGTTATTATGAGGGTTAAATGAACACAATGAATGGAATTCACATAACATTGTGCCTTGTATATATTAACTGCTTTAAAAAGGGTAGTTATTTTACCTCAAATCTAAGGCTTAAGTTATGAGAATGATAATACATATTGAGTATATGTATTTTCTGTTGCTTCCTAAAGGGCAGAGCAGTAGCTGTGATAGTTGACTGAGTTAGGAGTAAGGTTGACATCTTTTTATAAAAGTTGAGAAATTTAACAAAAGCATGTATCTCATTATAAAGAAATCCACTAAAGAGAGTATCTGTGAAGAAGGCCAAGATTTTCATCAGGAAACACTTTTAGGGTGCTGTGTCATAGGTAAATGGCTGGTCATTGTTGCAACATTATTTTCATGATGATACAAGGATACATTAACCTTTTCTGGAAATTTTACACTAAAAATCCATCTAGGAGATACAACCAGATATACTTCCTGAATAGGAAAACTGAATGGTAAGAAGCCAATCATGCAAGATAAGAGGAAAGAACATTCCAGGGAGAGGGAACAGACCACTACACAGACCTTGAGGAGTGGACTTGGCATGATTCATGAACAGACAGCATGTCATTTTACTTGGAGCATAGTAGCCTACTAGGTGAGGGTAGTAGAGACATCATCAAGGCGAACAAAGGCTAGATCATGTAGGCTTGTAAGCAAGGGAAGGAGTTTGGGTTCTGTTCGGTCTGCAATGAGAAGTTTTTGCAAGGTTTAAACATGGAAATGCTACACATCTTAATTCACCCCCTGTTCCTCAATGTATTTACTCATCATTTAGCTTTAATTCCTTTTACTTCACTTAAGCTTTAACTCCAGCCTCTTTTCTTTGGTTATCTTTGTATTTCTTGACATTAAGTCCTGCTGCTTTTCTTTTACCCTAAATTCTGTCAGTCCTCTGACCTTTCTTATCTACCTACCAATGATACGGTCTAGCCTCTTTGGATGACATGCACTAGCCTGAATATGTTAATTTACATTAAAAAAACCAAAAACTTAAAAAAAAATTAGAGATGGGGTCTCGACATGTTGCCCGGGCTGAATCCAAACTCCTAGGCTTAAGCAGTCCTCCTGCCTCAGCTTCCCAAGTAGCTGAATAAGCTAATTAACTTGTTTTGTTTCTCTCAGGGAGTGCACAACAGGTGGAGGGAGGAGGCAGGAGGGTGGGGATGAGAGCACCTTCCCAAGAAAAGGCCTGGAAGAGTTTATACCAACCAGGAAAGGCCTGGGGCACAGCAAAAGGAACTGGCCTTTACCTCTGAGAGAAAGGAATGCCTCCTCCCTTCTTCCAGCCTCCCTTAAGAAAAATACCCAGGAATACCCCCAGCCCTGTGAGCACAGAGCACTGGTGTGAGTTGTTTACTTGTTAATGAGTTTGCACCACTGTCTGCATGTAATGAGTCATTCAGGTCATTCTGGGATGATGTTAGTATGCACAAACCCCTCCTTTAATCTGGTTGGCTAGTTCAGAATAGACAAGTTTTAACACTGCTTCCTTCTCCCATCAAGAAGTAAAGCCCAGGTTCTGAGGAACAGACTCCATCTGGAGACCATGTTTGGTGAACCTGAGCTTTGGGAAACGACTTCAAGCCTCAAGTCGTTTTGCCCCTTCCTGTGGCTGACAGCATCAGAGGTCAGGATCACAATGAATTTTACCATTTTGATGGGGATTTTAAAACGTGACTGTTTAAAAAACGCTGCTTTGAAAATTTTTTTAATCTTGATTTATATAAGCATTTATTTCTTGATAAGATTTGAATTATAACCTAATTGATGACTTAATATTCTTCGGGGCTAAGACTACATGAGAAAAAAATGTTATACAGATTTTTTAAATGATTCCTGGGCTTAAGGAAAAAATTACTTTTAAATCCTTACCAGTCTCCCAGATAATTAATGAGCAGGTGTTGCCTGGGAGTGTAAAGATTTTTAGGTCTTATGACCTCGTGGCCGCTTGGTCCAAAAAATAAGATTACTTGCCTCTTTCCTTATTCTTACCGGATAGAATGAGACTCGTTTAAAACATCTCGTTTAGGTTAGAAAAGAAAATGGGACACCATATTTGTAATTGACCTAACATTTATAAGTAACTGATTTAAATGAACTTTACTCAAAGCACACTCCACAAAAGGCACTTCAAATTTCACTGGAGCACAGCCCTTTGTGTTGTAGAATAATGTAGAATAAAATGGCTTTCTTTTTTAACACCACCACAACACTCAAGGAAATGAAAGTAGGTAAGGCATCTATCTGTGAACAGCAGTGCTATCCATTCCATGAATGTTTAGGGTTTACTCCATGTTAGGCACTAGGGACAGGATGGCAAACAGGGCAGACAGGTCCCCTGACCTCTTCCACCACCCTACAGTCGAGTGAAGAAAGTAGATTTTTTAAAAATTATTATTATACTTTAAGTTTTAGGGTACACGTGCACAATGTGCAGATTAGTTACATATGTATACATGTGCCATGCTGGTGTGCTGCACCCATTAACTCGTCATTTAGCATTAGGTATATCTCCTAATGCTATCCCTCCCCCCTCCCCCTACCCCACATTGCTCTTGTCTCCCAGGCTGGAGAACAGTGGTGTTATCTCGGCTCACTGCAACCTCTGCCTCCTGGGTTCAAGCAATTCTCCTGCCTCAGCCACGTGAGTAGCTAGGATTACAGGTGTGCAACATGACACCTGGCTAATTTTGTATTTTTAGTAGAGATGGGGTTTCGCCAGTTGGCCAGACTGGTCTCGAACCCCTGACCTCAGGTGATCCTCCCGCCTTGGCCTCCCAAAATGCTGGGATTACAGGCGTGAGCCACCATGTCCAGCTAGATTTTAAATATTAACAAAATAATTACAAGTTCTGATTATTACCATTAAGAGAAAAGCACAGAGATAAAATAACATCAGAGAGGGGACACCACCACTTTAGGAAGCCAGGTAAGGGCTGGAGGAGGTGAAATTTAGGCAAAGATTAAAGGACATTAGGAGTCAGACCTGCCATAGCAGGAGGGAATAGCATCCCTGGCAGAGAGGAAAGCTTGTTCAGAGCCACAGTCCTGAAAGAAGCTTGTTTGAGGGACTACAAGAAGACCAATGTGCTTGAAGCATAATACATCTAAGATCAGATGTGTGATGAGTTTGAAGAGGCAGCTAGATCACCGTAAGAACTTTGGAGGGCTTTTGGCAGGAGAGTGACATGATCTGATCTGATGTATATTTTGAAAGGTCACTCCAGCTTCCAGGTAGCAGTGGAAGAAGACATGCAAAAATCACAATCATAACTTACACGGCGTGGTAGCTTGGAGTACGGAGGAAGAGGAAGAACATTTGGGGCATATTTTGGAAGTGGAATAAACAGATCTGCTGGTGGATGGAGAAGAGTGGGGTGAGGGTTGGTAATGAGGAGCCAAGGATGACTCATTTTCAGGTTGGAGTAACTGGGAAGGCTTGGAAGACTAGTGGAGAAACAGGTTTGGAGAGAGAAGTCTCAGTCCCTTAGTCATTCACCTCAGTTTCTTAGTCACTGGAATACCTTAGATCTCTTATCTACCATTTCTTTAAAAACATGCGTAAGCCCAGGGAGGCCGATGGGGGAGGATCCCTTGAACCCAGGAGTTTGAGGCATACCTGGGCAACACAGCAAGACCCTGTCTCTCTAAAAACAACAACTACAAAAAAAAGGGGGAGGCAGAAAAAGGCTGGACACAGTGGCACACGCCTATAATCCCAGCATTTTGGGAGGCCGAGGCAGGTGGATCACATGACATGAGGAGTTCGAGACCAGCCTGACCAACATGGTGAAAACCTGTCTCTATAAAAATACAAAATTAGCCAGGCGTGATGGCGTGCACCTGTAATCCCAGCTACTTGGGAGGCTGAGACAGGAGAATTGCTGGAACCTGGGAGGCGGAGGTTGCAGTGAGCCAAGCTAGTGTCACTACACTGCAGCCTGGGTAACAGAGCAAGACTCTGTCTCAAAAAACAAAAAACAAACAAACAAAAACAGAAAGAAACATGTGTAGCAGAAAACTGCTACCTGCTGGGCCTAAACTAACCCCAGATTTTTAATATATATATATATATATATATATAGCAAGAGCTTACAGAACAGGCAGCACCAAGTGGGAGTTGGGGGGCTTGTCTTGATGTTGCATTTGATAAATATACACAGTTTTTACTCAGATTATATTTTTGCTTAGATTTGGGCTAAAGATCCCCAAAGCTGCCCCTTGGTATTGACACTCATTAAGAAATTAAGGAAGAGATAGTACTATTGAACTATTTTCCAAAAAAAGAAAAAAAAAGACAAAAACCCAAAACAAATGGGATGTGATGTACATTTTCCATGTTATTTTATACATGAGCTATCTTTCCAATACTGAAGTTGGTTTAGCAAGAAAAGAATTAAAAACGTCAAAGTGCAAGCCAAGAGCCAAAACCACTCTCAACAGCCCAAAGTTGTGAACGTATTTAATTTGCCCTTTCCCTGGGAAGTCATTTCTTGGATCATTGACTTACTATTATTCTGTAAAACAGTGGTAGCCCCTGCCTTCCTCTGCTTGCTGCCAAGAGTATGATCCAGCAGTGGGGTCTGAAGAGTTTATGTTTATTGGATTTTAATGACTTAGTTAACAAAGGTCATTCCTAAAAATAATAGAAAACTAAGGGTGTGGAAACAGAACGGAAAAGACTGACTCGAGGGTTATTTCTAGTAGTTCCTTGGTGTTGTCCTTAGATACATGTTTAATCCTTAAAAGCAATTATGAAGGAGTCTTCCTCATAACCAATTTACTGATGCTATATTCAACTATACTTGTAAAACGTTATTTTAGACCTCTCAGTAACAAAAGGAACAGGGCTTAAAATATGTTAGATAATATTGCCATAAACAATGTGCTGTTAACATAATATTGCTGACAGTATAATTGTAATTCACTGTAAAACTTGAATGCCACAACTGTAGTGCTTCCATTATCGCTGACGGTAGGAAATAACTTCAGTCTCAGGTGAAATCTGGTTGGATACAAATCTCCAAGTTAAAAGAAACCTCAAAGACCATTTAATCTTGTCCTTTTAAATATTTAATAACTCATTTGGTAGTAAATATTTATCCAAATTATGTTTCTTAGACTGTAAAATAATTTCCAGGCTGGGTGTGCTGGCTCACACCTGTAATCTTAGCACTTTGGGAGGACGAGGCAGGAGGATCATTTGAGGCCAGGTGTTCGAGAACAAATTGGGCAACAAAATCAGACTTTATCTCCATTCAAAGTAAATAAAACTAAAAAAAAAATTAGGGGCTGGGCACAGTGGCTCTCACCTGTAATCCAGCATTCTGGGAGGCCAGGGCAGGAGGATCACCTGAAGTTAGGAGTTCAAGACCCGCCGAACCAACATGGAGAAACCCCATCTCTACTAAAAATACAAAATTAGCCAGGCATGGTGGCACATGCCTGTAATCCCAGCTACTTGGGAGGCTGACGCAGGAGAATTGCTTGAACCTGGGAGGCGGAGGTTGCAGTGAGCCAAGATCACACCATTGCACTCCAGCTTGGGCAACAAGAGCGAAACTCTGTCTCTAAATAAATAAATAAATTAGCTGGGTATGGTGGCACACACCTGTAGTCACATCTACTCAGGAGGCTCAGCTGAGAGGATTGCTTGAGCCCAAGGGTTCAAGGGTGTAGTGAGCTATGATCGCACCACTATACTCCAGCCTGGGTGACAGAACAAGACCCTGTCTCAAAAAAAAAAAAAAAAAACAAAACTTGAGCTAAATGGTGATTGAATTATTTAAAATTAAATTGATGAGATCATTTAAGAATATGTGGAAAGAAAGAAATTTACAGTCATTCCTCAGGTATAAATTAAATATTTTCCACCTCAAAAATCCAATGACATGAGATATAAATGTATAGTTCACATATGTAATACATTTCTCACATGGTTACAGAACCTTTCTGATCTGGCTCCGGTTGACTTTTCCAGCCTTATCTAACTTCTCCTCCCTCCTACCAACCCTGTTTTTTCCTCCTCCTCTCCTTAGCTACAGCCTTACTAATCTTCCTACTGTGAGACTCAAACCCACGCTGCTCTCAGGTCTCAGGGCCTATGTACCAGTAATTCCCACTGCCTGGAATCCCTTGCCCTCATTCTTTGTTGGGTCATTCTGCAGACCCAGTACTACTTCCTCTTGGGAGCCTTTGTCCATCTCCTCTTCCCCCAATCTCCGAACCCCACCAAGACGTCAGTAGTTCTTGAGCAAGCCTCTGCTTAATTTTCCTGGGATGACCAAAACTAACACTGTCTGATCCGTTGTTCAATCCCCAATACCTAGAACAGAGCTGCAACATAACAGGCACTATAAATGAATGAATGGATAAAGACAGCACTGAAGAACTTGAAATTATAGTTTACACATGTAAACAGTAACATAAATCTGAAGAAATAAAGTTTTTTTCTGTTTGTTTTTTCGAGATGGAGTCTCGCTCTGTCACCAGGCTGGAGTGCAGTGGTGCAATCTGGCCTCACTGCAACCTCCGCCTCCCAGGTTCAAGCGATTTCCCTGCCTCAGCCTCAGCGTCCCAAGTAGCTAGGACTCCAGGCACGCGCCACAATGCCTGGCTTTCTTTCTTTCTTTCTTTCTTTCTTTCTTTTTGTATTTTAGTAGAGATGGGTTTCACTGTATTGGCCAAGATGGTCTCAATCTCCTGACCTTGTGATCTGCCTGCCTCATCCTCCCAAAGTGCTGGGATTACAGGCGTGAGCCACCGGGCCTGGCCAAGTTGTTGTTTTTAAAAGATACATTTCAACTCACTTCTCTAAGGTGGGAATACACACAGCCTGCCATCAGTTTGACATAAAACAAAAATTTTACCCTTGTCTCATGCTAAATTTCTTTTACTAGGTTAAAAAAATGTAGAATCCAAAGAGCTGTAAATGCAAATGACAAATACTGTACAAAATCTATCAAGCAACTATAAGTCACAACTTGCAAGCTTTCTCCTCAGCAAATGAGTTAAAAGGAAAAGTATTTGAAACTTTCTTGGTGGAAAACGAATGACCTTTAAAAATGCCAGCATTTTCCCCAGAGAATAGATTTGGTCTGAGTTCTTCATTTCTGAAATTGTACAAGATAAGACCTCTTGGTTTGAGAGTCAAACTGCATCCTTCTATGAAGGTTTTAGATATTTTAAGTCTCCATACAAAACACTCCCCTTATTTTGAGAACAAAAGGAACAATAAGACAACCTAGGCGGGGAAGAGAAAGAAAGGTCTTGAAACAAAGTCCCTGGAAAGGTAAAAACAACAACAAAAATAGTAAGTTAGAGCTCGTGTTAGATCTGATAACTCAAAACTGCACAACGTTTGCCATACATCGAAAGCAACATGGGAAAACAGAAAAAGAGCTCACAAACATTTTTTTGAGTGTCCTAACTTGTAGAACCCCTAAGAATGAATCAAATACACTTGGACAAAGTTCTTTTTTTCTCTCTCTCCTTCAAGTCGCAGACTAGGGGTGTGGGGCGGGGGACGGGGAGTAAGACGGGGTCCCTAATAAACACAAGACCCAGTCTAGGACGTGTTTAATTGCTGACATTTTAGAAGAAAAATGGGCTACTTACAATTAATGAACCAAACTACCAAACTAAAATCATGAGTAGGAGGAGGAGTAAATGGAACTGTCTGGGCGAAGTTTCAGGAAGGTGAAAGCTGGGGTCGCTGAGCCCTCCCCCACCCATAGCTCGGGGCTCTCCAGTCGCTCCCGGCCCCCAGCGCGGACTTTCGGGCGCCAACGGCCCAACCATACAGACTTGGCAGGATGTAGCCCCCTTCTCCCCTCTCCAAGAGAGAAAAGTGCTAGGAGACGCAAACCGTATTTCCGTGTCCGAGCGTTGAAACCTGCGGAGTCCCGCGCGGGGCGCCCACACTCGTTCCCGGGGAGCCCCAGCCCGGTCACCTGCCCCGGTCCCAGCTCCAGCCTGGGCCTCCCTTACTCTGGGGCTCCATGGTCGGCTGCTCCCCGGCCTCCGCGGGCGAACGCCGGGGCTCCTAACGCCTCTCAGCCAGGTCCGGCGTCGCTACGGTTGCCCTGACAACCGGGAGGCGGAGTGGGCAGAACCAGAGGGACTGCAAGCGGGAGGGACCAAAAGCCGCAGGAAGTGAGGAAGCGCGTGAGGATCCGCGCGTCGCCTGGGACACTGAGCGAGGGTAGCGGCCAGGTCACCGGCTGAGGACACTGCCCCTGAAGCCCGGTCAGGCGGTCGCGCCCTCCCTGGCGGCCCCCGCGGCCTGGCAGGACCTGTGCCCCGACGTCGCCGACCCGCGGCGTCCGTCGGGCGAGTGGGCCTGCCCGCGGGTAAGGCGCCGGCCCTGGGCCGCCCTCCCGGGACTCGGGAGGCGCCGCTGCAGGTAACAGCTGGGCCCCCGCGGCGGAAGGGGTCGGGGGTCGGCGCAGGGGCGAGCGCGCCCCGAGCCGGGTGTGCGGCCCCGGCGCACCTGTTGTAGCCGCCTGGGGGTCCCCTGCCCGCAGTTGGCCGTGGACGTTCCCCGCCCCGACTCCGAAATGCCGAGGGCCGCCTCCACGCCTCCTGCTCCGGGAGCCACGCCTCAGCGGGAGGATGGAACCCTGCGGGCAGCCCTCGCACCCGGGGCTCCCTCGGAGCCCGGGCATGGGCCGGGCCTGGGGTGGTCCCTCGAACCCCCCTGACGGGAAGCATGGAGCAATGCGAGCCGCTGCCGTCGTCGCTGTCGTCCCCAGTGAGCCAGGAGCGCCTCCTGAATCGCGAGAGCCAAGAGCACGGCTTTGCCATCATCCCCGTGTCCCATTTCAGGCAGGGGGCCCTGGTTGGATCTTTGTCGCTGGCTTCGTTTTGTGTGTGTTGATTTGTTTCAGTCCTTCGCGTTTCCGGTTGAGTTACGGAATCTGCCCACACGTTTTGTGGCCAAACTTTGTAGGGCTGTGAAACCATGTAACATTATCTCACACAATAGTCTTTCATACTGGTTTTAAAACACAGTGATGCAGGGTTTGCTTTAAGGAAGCTTTGAGGATCACAAGGGATTATTATCTGGTAGGTTGTAAAAATTCAAACAACCAGGAGAGTGTCATAGGTTCCGGAACACCGGGAGGAGGAAAGAAAAATGGAGAGGAGAGAAAAAGGATAAGCAAGAAAGTGCAGGGGCATTAAGGGTGTGGGGGCTGCAGGATTGATTTGGTACTCAGGTCTGGAGATTATGGCCCCTCTATTATTCCAACCGCTGCTCCAGACAGTACTTGAGGGAAATGGAAGGAAGAGCCATTTTGGGGGTCATGCAAGTGATTACTAATCTTGCCAGTATAAAGATTTCCACTCCATGGATGACAAGGACACTAAGGAGAATTACTTTCCTCTTAGAAAGGGAATCATTGAGAGGTTAATTGAACTTGAGAAGCATATATTCTGTGATGGAAACTGACATTTATTATATTCTTCCAAATTAGGTTTTCCCCCTCTTAGACTATATGGGGACTTTTTCAGATTAATTGTCAAAACAAGAAGGTTTACGTGTGGATATTGACAAGCAGCGTGATATATACAGAACACATAATTCTCAAGCTGAAGTATTAAGGTAATAAATTAAGGGTGGAAAGTAAACACTTCATGGAACCTTACCTCCCTGTTCCTGAAATTTGGAGACAGGGGCTTCATTTTTAGACAGAAAGTATCTAAAGATCAGCAGTACTTCTGTATCCAGTGGTTCTCAAGTTCTAGTTTACATATCATTGGTAAAATCACAAAGCGATCTTTTCATTCAAGATACAAATAGAGTGATCAGTATATCATAATCAAAAGTGACAAGATAGTGATTTAAAAAACACCTGGCATTTATTGACAAAAGAAAAGGTAGGATTAAGTCTGCTCAAACAGTAAAGGATTAGCATTAGTATTTTTTTAAAAAGAAGAAACAACAGTTCAGGTCTCTATGCTAAAGTAGTAAGGACTGAAGAAGTTTTAAGTTTGGAAAAAATGGGGATATGTATTGGTGAAACACTTTGTAATCATATAGAATGATTATTTTATCAGCAGCTGTGAAGTTGACTTTGAGGAAATTTTGAATTGAAATACTTTAGGTGACAAGTAAAGGCAACTGTGAAAAACAACATTTGATTTTAGCGGACAGGGTACCTGTGGAAGAAGACTGGTTAGGAGTGGAAGTGAGGTGTAAAGGCACTGAAATGTCTGAGGCAGGGACAATATTCAGTTTCTCTTCCTCTATCACCTAGTGCAATGTACTTGTTAAACGTTTGTTGAATGAGTGAGAAGGGCTTTAGAGAAATTGCTTTGGATATAGGGATACACTTTACTATTGGAGAAAACACCCGAGATCAGAAAGTTGCTAATGAGATAGGGGTGGGGGATGAATGGTAAAGACACTGATTGTACCTTTTTGGAGTTTTCTACCATTGTGTTTTATTTCTTTTCACCGGCATGTTCAGTATGTTATTAGTGGTCAAATAAAAAGGAATAAAGTTCTATTTTTTTTTAAGTCTCCAAGCTCATTACTAGATAGAATAGTTACATTATTGTTTACTTTGCTGATGTTTAGCTAAATGTAGCAAACTGAAGCATTATGGATCGGGAATAACAAAGTAACAATGAAGAAACAGATGTTGTCTTTTTCTTATTTAAATCTCTTGACTACCTAGAATTCAACGTAGAAATAACTTTAGTGGGAGGTTAACATTATTTAATGCAAATAGGTTGATAAAAAATGTAGCAAATGAACATGTTATTAATAGTTCTGTCTTCTAGCCTTACTGTGGTAAGTTGAAGGAAGTTTTCATTTTTGTTTTTGTTGGTTTTAGGGTTTTTGTTGGTTTTTGTTTTCTTTACCAGAGTGAGGATACTTTTTTCTCTATCTGATACTTTCTGAAACTCTTAAGGATTTCGGTCAAAAGTGGAAAACAATCAAATTTCTATTTTTGGTGTTTTCCTCTTTGTTCTCCAAACTTGTCATGGTCTACGTTCAATTTGTTGCACTCACACGGAATGTCTGTCTCTCAGACCTTTACTCGTCCACAGTCTAAAGGAGACTGGCCGGGCGCGGTAGCTCACGCCTGTAATCCCAGTACTTTGGAAGGCCGAGGCGGGCGGATTACGAGGTCAGGAGATCGAGACCATCCTAGCTAACATGGTGAAACCCCGTCTCTACTAAAAATACAAAAAGTTAGCTGGGCATGGTGGCGGGCACCTGTAGTCCCAGCTACTCGGGAGGCTGAGCCAGGAGAATGGCGTGAACCCGGGAGGCGGAGCTTGCAGTGAGCAGAGATTGGGCCACTGTACTCCAACCTGGGTGACCGAGCAAGACTCCATCTCAAAAAAAAAAAAAATAAAAGTTAAATAAATAAATAAATAAATAAAGGGGACTGCAGGAGCATGCTGCCCCAGTTTCTGGAAAGTCTTTCAGGATTAGGCTAATGCCCACTAAATGCACTTCTCTCTCCTACTGGGGGTGCTACACGGTTTAGCATTTAGCTCTGTAGGATGCTTTCGTATAGAATTTTATCTCATATGGATGGGTCTTGTACCTCTGACTAGATTAAATATGTTTGGAGCTAAGTGCATGACTTACGCTTCTTCTGTGTTGCTTTTAGCACACGGTGGGCTTCATTGTGTACCTGATAATTTAAGTAGGGTAATAATAGAGAGGTCAAACCTTTAGTTTGGGGTCATTGCATTAATTTCTAGCTTTGCCCCTTTGGAAAAACAGAAACTATTATTTCGTCATTGATAACTTGGGATAATAAAACCTGCAATGGTTGTCTGATAGTCTAGTTGTGAGAATCAAGATAAATGTGATTATAGATTATGAATGAAAATATCTTGTATGTCATAATGAACTTTTTTAATATAAAGGGCTGTTATTGACTTAGGCATAGAGCAGACATTGATACCACATTCACAATGTCTTAGGTACTTCCTGGGCTCTGGAATTGCATGTCATAAAGGGTGAACAGGAAATGACCAGGTGCTTCTGAAGCAGAACAGCCTGGGCTGAGGCACGAAGGCCGGGAGAACAACTAAGCCATGGTTTATTCTGGCTGAACTGGAGAATACTTCTTCATGTGTATTAGCAGAAAATGGGAGGAAGTAAGGCCAGAAAGGCAAATGTGGGCCAAATCAGAAGGAACCTAAGGACCATGAGTTTATCTTCCTTAAAGGTAATAAGGAGGATTTGGGTCAGTGACTGGATCAGTTTTGCATTTGGAAAGGATCACTGGCAACACTCAAATGACAGATTGGTAGAGAGCCTAAATGGGAGACAAAAAACTGGAGATGTTGCTGAAGCTCAGTGAAGAAATGAAGAGAACTAGGAGAGCGACGGTGGGAATAAGAAGGAGGGGCCACTAAAAAAGGTAGAATTAGCAGATCTTGGTGATACAGGAGATGAGGAAGGAGAAGCCAGGGATGACAGTGGGGTGGATCATTCTGTTATTCATTGAACTCTAAAGAAGAAAAAAAAATTTTTGAGGAGTTTAAGAAGTGGGGTAGATGTGTTCAGTTTGAGAAGCCTGTCATATATGTTGGGAGGTCCCATAAGTAGTAGTAGTTGGACATGTGGGTCTGGAACTAAAGGGAAAAAGTCTGAGATGAAGATAGAAATTTGGATTAAGCATTTAGTGATTGAAGTTAAAATGTGATGATTTACTCCAGGGATATTATGTGGAATAAGAGGGTAAAGGATAGAGCCCTGAAGTATGCACATTTTACGTTGTGGGGAGGGGCTGATGGTGGAAGAACCTGCGGAGACTAAGGACCAATGGTCAGAAAAGGGGGCTGAAAATCTGGGAGGATTAATGGAAGAGTGCCTACTCCTGGAGTTCATGCATTGGCATTCCCCAGAATGATTATATTTTCCTCTAGCCACCGTAGAACGCACAACACAGTTCATCTATTATTGTTTTATTAAAGTTCATGTAAAATGACTACCCATTACTTTGTTAACAACAGAAATCTTGATATTTATGTTTAAAAATATTTTTTAAAACATTTTTAAACAGATTTTTTAGATACAGAGTCTTGCTATGTTGCCTAGGCTGGTCTGGAACTCCTGGGCTCCTCCAGCCTCAGCCTTCCAAAGTGCTGGGATTCCAGGCATGAGCCACTGTGCCTGTGGCTATTTATGGGTTTTTTTGTCTACATTTGGGACAACAAATCAAGTAAAATGTAACTTTAGAAGTTGATTATGATTATGCCTCAAGCAAATACTTTAAAAAAAAAAGAGAGAGAGAGAGATGGATAAAAGTTAATTTTGTGTATGTCTCAGGTAAAATATGTTAACTTGGGGAGACCAGCAGTAACCTGTTCTTTAAATCTCAGCTTTTATTGAATCTCACACAAAATTTTTCTCAGATATGTCACTAGACTACTTAAATAAGCCAGATTAGTATTTTTGCATGCTTTATTAACTCTGCTTCTACTCAGAGTAAATTAGTTTTTGGAATGGAATGCAGTCAAAAAAATCATCAAAATAATATCACAAAGCACTGAGTGGTCCAGTCATTTGAACTTCTGACAATACCTTTGACTTAGAAACTTATTTGTGGGGAGTGGTATATTAATACTATACATAAACATTGATTGAGCTCGGGGGGACTTTCTGTATATACATTTAAAAATATGTTTTTTTTAATAGAGACAGGGTCTCACTGTGTTGCCCAGGCTAGTCTCAAACTCCTGGGCTCAAATTATCCTCCCCACTTGGCCTCCCAAAAGGATGGGATTACAGGCATGAGCCACTGCCCAAAGGCTAAAATTTTTTTAAGTACCATTAGAATGTAAGGATTCTTTTTAAAAAATTTGATTGTGCAGGGTTGGTTATTCAACCAATATGCAATACAATATTCAATACTGTATATTCATCACTTCTCGGCCTTTTGGCTAAGATCAACTGTAGTATCTGTTGTTATTAATATAATATTGTATATTCAACCAATTGTCAATACAAGGCTGTTTGTATCTGATATGAACCAACATTGAGTTAAAAATGGACGTTTTTTTAAAAAAAGCTAATTAACTAGATTTGCTTACTTAAAATCAAAGCAATCAACTCGTTACAAGTCTAGAAATAAGGATTTTAAAATAAATTTTGAATTTTGACATTATCTTTTCCCAGAAAGACTTTAAATTGATACTGGAAACGAAATAGGATATATTTTGGGAGATTTGAGGCTATTAAAACAAAGGCAAACAAAGAAGTGACCTTCTAAAAGTCCTAGTAATGATTAGGTCCATTGTTTCAATTAAACCATACCTTGCTTGAGAGATAAAGTGTATTAAATATTGACTGTAACTTTGTATTAGAAATGTTTTTAAAATCTATAAAAAAGATTTACCAATCTATCTATACCATGTTTTTCAGTTTTATGGTATTTCTTCCAGACCTCTCTTCCTGACATCTCCATTAGTGTCAAGTATTTCTTCAACCCCCAGTGATGCAACGTGAGTCTATTTTTAAAAATGTAGTCTGGAAGCAATATGTAATATAGTCAGGAAGCAGTATGGATATATGGTTAAGTATATACACTATACACTTAACTGAGGTTAAGCAGAGATCATAGTGCCTGACTTGAAGCACCTGATCTACCACAGATGATCTTCTAGAAGCTGTATAAATTAAACCTCTGAAGGTTTACATTTCCTCATTTGAAAAATGGAAATAATAAAGTAAACCCTCATGAGGTCCTTAAGAGTTTAAATGAAATAATCCATATAAAGTGCTTAAGTGCTGAACATAGCATCTGGTATGCAATAATCACTCTATAAATGCTAATTGGTAAAATTATCATCATTGTTATTGTTAGTCCAACTATAGTAGTAGCATGGAACCAGGATTCTGAAAAGTGTGGCCTGCAGATCAGGGCCAGTGCAGACTTACTGGTTTGCAGTGAGATCCGGAGCTTGTGCCAGAATGTAAATAGGCGATGTCACTAAACATACTGATTACTGTTCAGCTGACTTTTTAAAAATAGCAAGACCTCTTCAGTGTAAGAAGCAGTTAGTTGATTTACATTCTGGTGCAAGCTCTTTACCTTGCCACAAACCAGCAGCAGAGTTGACATGGAGTATTGGACCAATGATCCTACTCTCCAAAAAATAATAGTCCTTTATTCTGAAGACGTTATTATTCACTCATAATACCTCATTAACTTTCTTTTTTTCTAAACATTGTAATAATAGATTATAAGTATATTGTTTATGAGTTCAGCAGATATTTATTGATCACATAGTTTGTGCACAGCCCTGTATCTTATTTTGCAGGAGTTGCAAAGCTGGCTCAGAAATTAATCTTGCCTTTAGGAAGTCTGCCATAAACCCGCAAGAGGAAATAAGTGAAAATCTAAATAAATGTGTTGAATATATGCAGTGAGTGTTTGCAATAGTGTTATAGCTTGGTTCCAAAGATTTCAATATAGATGGATGTTTCCTTTTGCTGAGCTGCTACCAGAATAGGACAGAATTAATTATCTTTTTGGAAATGGAGTCTTACTCTGATGCCCAGGTTGGAGTGCAGTGGTGCACTTCAGCTCACTGCAACCTCCGCCTCCCAGATTCAAGCGATTCTCCCACCTCAACCTCCTGAGTAGTTGAGATTACAGGCATCCGCCACCATGCCCAGCTATTTTTTGTATTTTTAGTAGAGACGGGGTTTCACTATGTTGGCCAGGCAGATCTTGAACTCCTGACCTCAAGTGATCCACCTGCCTTGGCCTCCCAAAGTTCTGGGGTTACAGGCATGAATCACCACGCCCAGCCAGAATGGAATTAATACCTTTTACGTTTTCAGCATTACACTATCACAATAAAGTTCAGAGTTTGCTTTATTAAGATAGTGTTTGAATCTTCTAGGAGATTCAGAAACCTGCAGTAGTAGGGAAATCTGAGTTTTAGATATAATAACAAAATTATAACTTTTAAAGATTTGTATTGTAGAAGATTATCCTTAAGTGTTTTTTAAATTATTAATTTACTATTTCACCCTTCATGCAAATATATGAATTATAAATGATTGATTGTTCCATAGAATATGAAGAGATATTAAATAAATATTAAAATATTTATAAAGTTTTGGTTAAAATGAGCACAATTTCTTCTCGAAAAAATTCACTGCCAGTCTGGGCAACATAGGGAGATACTGTCTCTACAAAAATAAAAAAATAAAAATTAGCCAGGCATGGTGGTGTGTTCGTATAGTCCCACTATTGGAGAGACTGAGTCAGGATGATCAATTGAGCCCAGAAGTTGGAGGCTGCAGTGAGCTATGATCATGCCACTGCACTCCAGCCTGGGCGATGGAGTAAGACCATGTCTTTAAAAAAAAATGCATTGCTCAAACAGATAATGTTGAAACAAATTCTGGAGTAATATAAATATAATAATTTTTAAAAGGCAAGGCATGTATATTTTACATATAAATATGTATATTATATAGTATAGGGTTTACAAACTATGAGTCAGATCATGAGCAGATTTATTTTTGCAGACTAATTTACTGTTGAGTGGGCTTAGGGAAAAAAGGAAAATAATGCAAAATGTTCAAGTCCAGAAATGTTATTTCATTTTTAATATTTCTTAGAATGTTTTGCGTGGAAGTGGATGTATTGGTTTCTCTTATTGCCATGCTTGGTGCACCTGCTCGTAATCACTTTTGTTGTGCCTTTTGCCATAAATTGTTACCTAATCTCACTAATGACTTTAAGAAAATTGAAGGTGGGTGTTAGAAAGATTATAGGTAATATTAAAGAATATAAGGCAGGCATGGTGGTGTGTACCTGTAGTTCCAGCTACTCGGAAAGCTAAGGCAGGAGGATCACTTGAGCCCAGGAGTTGAATACAGCCTGGGCAACACAGACTCTGTCCCTATTTCTAAAATTAAAAAAAAAATACACACACAAACACATACAATGTAAAATAAAGAAAAGAGAGTAACTCGAAATTTAAGAGGAAAATTATAAGGAAAAACAGAGTAAAAAATGAAATTTGGATCAAGAAATGACTAGGTAAGTTAGACCCATGGCACTGTAATCACAACTTTTTTACCACAGCAGATCAGGTATTTTGCGATCTGTCCCCTATCTCATCTTTGAACTCATCTTGTACCAAAGTCTCTCTCAAATTAGGTACCAGCCACCCGTGCCTTCTTTTAGGTAATTGTCTGTAAGGTTGAGTCTACATATCATAGTCAAAGAATTTATATTTCCACACCCCACCCTCAGCCTCACCTAACCAGACCTGCCTGTACAAACTGTGTCCCTATCACACATAGTAGGACCTCAAGTATTGGTTGAATAGGTAAATGGAAAACCCAAAAATGGAGGCATTAAGGATGAGAAAACTTGAGGACACAGAAGACCTATTAGATTATGAATGATATCGATGATAAAATACTATCAGATGTTGCTCTTAGAAGCATATGATCCCTAAAGGATAAAAAATGACTCATTTATTATTTACTCAGCCTGTAATTATTAATTAGTCACTCACTATATTTGGATTTAGGAGTGGAAATTACCAGTGAAGAAGGTATAGCTCCAATAACAGTGTAAGTAAAGAGACAGACATGGGGAAAAGATAATCACTAGTACAAACGGTTCAAGAGTCCCCTCATACTTGATGTTGCCTCCTCAGCATCTGCAATTTACAAGCGGCCCCACAAAGATCAATGATCTGCTAGAGCAAGCGTGATACATGCCATTGTCTGAATCTCAGTGCAGCTTTGTACTTTTCAACATAATAACTCTTCTGAATTGATCAAGAAGAAAGCAGCTTTAATAAATGTTGAAAGGAGTTAATTTGGGGTTTGGAGGTATGATTCAAGGGATGACCAGGAGCCTCTACAAATATTCCAGTTTGTGGATTTGTGAGTCTTAAAGAATTCTAAGAATAGCAAGAGTCTATCATATATCATAAACAGAAGGGAACAAAAAAGTCACATAAATCCAGAAACATAGTGAATTCCTGATAGAAGTGTTTAAACTCTATGCAGCAGTAGTAAACTAGCTTGAACTTAGCTAAGAGTGAAATAATGAAGGATGTAACTATGCAAGATAGACTGCAGTGGAGACACTAAGTCCCTGCTTCATAGAGCTCACATTCCGGTGAAGGGCACCAACAGAAAACAAAGAGGGAAAATATATACATTATGTTAGGTGGTGGTCTTAAGGAGAAAAAATGAAGCAGATAAAGAGGTTAGGAAGTGGTTTTTGGGAGTGTGGGAGAGGAAGCTAGCCATTTGGATATCTGAGGAAGGAACTTTTCAGACATACAGAAGGGTGAACACCAAGTCCCAGAGGCAGGCATCTGCCATGGTGTTTGAGGAATAGCAGGGGAGCCATCAGGCTAGGGAAGACTGAAGTAGGAGCTGTTGCAAATGAGGGCGGAGAGGCGATGGGTCCAGATCATAAAGTGATTGTTGGTCCTCTTAAGGATTTTGGTTTTTCCTCAGAGTGAGATGAGATGGGAAGTATTGGAGACTATTGAGCAGAGGAGACATGAGCTGACTTTAATAGGATGACTCTGACTGCAGGCTTGAGACCTGACTGTAAAAACAAATGTTTTTCTCTTTTTTTTTTTTTTTTTTATTTTTTGATACAGAGTCTCGGGGAACTCCAGCTCTGTTCCCCGGGCTGGAGTGCAGTGGCCCAATCTCAGCCCACTGCAACCAACGCCTCCTCTGTTCAAGGGATTCTCCTGCCTCAGCTTCCCAAGTAGCTTGGATTACAGGTGCGTATCAGCATGCCTGGATAATGTTGTACATTTTTATAGAGATGGGGGCAGGTCTTGCTATGTTGCCCGGGCTGGTCCCAAACTCCTGGTCTCCAGTGATCCTCCCGACTTGACCTTCCAAAGTTCTAGGATTACAGGCATGAGCCACGTCTCCTGACCATTTTTTTTATTTTATTTTTTTTCTTTTTTAGAGATGGGGATCTCACTATGTTGACCAAGCTGGCCTTGAACTCCTGGCCTAAAGTGATCTTCCCATCTCAGTCTCCCAAAGTGCTGGGATTACAGGCATGAGCCACTGTGCCTGGTCTCTTTGTTTTTGTCAAGTTTCTGAGGTGTAAGTGTTCTTTATATACTCGATATTAAGCAAGACCATGTCTCTTAAAAAAAAAACTGATATGGCCAAGCGCAGTGGCTCATGCCTGTAATCTCAGCATTTTGGGAGGCCAAGGTGGGTGAATCACCAGAGGACAGAAGTTCAAGACCAGCCTGGACAACCTGGTGAAACCCGATCTCTACTGAAAATACAAAATTAGCCGGATGTGGTGGTGCATGCCTGTGATCCCAGCAACTTGGGAGGCTGAGGCAGGGAGAATTGCTTGAATTTGGGAGGCAGAAGTTGCAGTGAGCCAAGATCATGTCACTGAACTCCAGCCTTGGACAACAAGATGGAAACTCCATCTCAAAAAAAAAAGCTATTAGTCCCTTACCAGATATATGATTTGCAAATATTTTCTTACATTCTGTAGGTTGTCTTATCTTGATACTGTATGTTATTCTTTTTTATGCTTTTATTGTTTGTTCTTACTGTTCCATCTTTTATTTGTGTAAGCACTTTAAGTAATATTATTTTGCATGCTATATAATCATTCAAGTGCCTGAAATCCAACTCTCCCTCTTTTTTTTATTGACTCTTCCTCATGACGGATTATTTCTTCATATATTTTGTAACTTTTGTTTGACTGGTCTTAAATTATCAAAATTGAGAAAGATTCTTTGCTTGGTGAAACTTTGGTCAGACTCCTAACCTCTTCTGGAATGGAATGGAATGGAGTGGAGTGGAGTGGAGTGGAGTGGAGTGGAGTGCAATGGAATGGAATGGAATGGACTCGAATCAAATGGAATGGAAAGGAGTCAAATGGAATGGAATGGACTCGAATGGAATGGAATGGAATGGACTCAAGTGGAATGGAATGGACTTGAATGCAATAGAATGGAATGGAATGGATTCGAATGGAATGGAATGGAATGGACAGGAATGGAATGGAAAGGAATGAAATGGAATGGAAAGGAATGGATTGAGTGGAATAGAATGGCAAGGAATGGAATGGAGTCAAGTGATATGGAATAGAAAGGACTCGAATGGAATGGAATGGACTCCAGTGCAATGGAATGGAATAGAATGGAGTCAAATGGAATGGAGTGGAATGGATTCGAATGGAATGGAACGGAATTCAATGGATTCGAGTCAAACGGAATGTAATGGTATGGAATGGACTCGAATAGAATGGAATGGACACGAATGGAATGGAATGGAATGGAAAGGAATAAAATGGAATGGAATGGATTGGAATGGAATGCAATCGACTCGAATGCAATGGAATGGAATGCAATGGAATGGACTCGAATGGAATAGAGTGGAATTTATTGGATTGTAATCTAATGGTATGGACTCTAATGGAATGGAATGGAATGGACTCGAATGGAATAGAATGGAACGGAATGGACACGAATGGAATGGAATGGAATGGACACGAAAGGTATGGAATGGAAGGGGATGGAATGGAATGGAATGGAAGGGAATGGAATGGAGTGGAATGGAACAGAATGGACTAGAATGGAATGGAAAGGAGTGGACTTGAATGAAATGGAATGGAAAGGAATCAAATGCAATGGAATGGATTCGAATAGAATGTAATGGAATGGAATGGACTCGAATGGAATGGAATGGAATGGAATTGACTCAAGTGGAATGGAATGGAGCGGACTCGAATGAAATGGAATGCAGGGGAAGGAACTGGAATGGCATGCAATGGAATGGAATAGACTCGAATGCAATGGAATGGAATGGACTCGAATGGAGTGGAAAGGAATGGACACAAATGGAATGGAATGGAATGGAATGGAGAGGAATGGAATGGAATGGAATGGAATGGAATGGAATGGAAAGGAATGGAGTGGAAGAGAATGGAATGGAATGGAATGGAATGGAATAGAATGGAAAGGAATGGATTTTAATTGAATGGAATGAAATGGAATGGACTCGAATGGAGTGTAATGTACTCGAATGGAATGGAATGGAATGGATTCGAGTGGAATACAGTGGAATTGTCTCGAATGGAATTCAATGGAAGGAACTCCAATGGAATGGAATGGACACGAATGGAATGGAAAGGAAACGACTCGAGTGGAATGGAATGGAATGGAATGCACTCGAATGGAATGGAATGGAATTGACTCGAATGGAATTGAAAGGAATGGACTCGAATAGAATGGAATGGAATGGGCTCGAATGCAATGGAGTGAAATGGACTCGAATGGAATGGAAAGGAATTAAATGGACTGGAATTGAATGGAATGCAACAGACTCGAATGGAATGGAATGGAAAGGTCACGAATGGAATGGAATGGAATGGAAAGGAATGGAATGGAACGGAATGCAATGGAATGCAATGGAATGAAATGGAATGGACTAGAATGGAATAGATTAGATTGGAATTTAGTGGAATGGACTCTAATGGAATGGAATGGAATGGATTCGAATGTAATAGAATGGAATGGAAAGGAATGTAATGTAATGGAATGGAATCGAATGGAATCGAATGGAATGGAATTTAAAGGACTCGAATGGAGTGGAATGTACTCGAATGGAATGGAATGGAATGAAAACGACTCGAGTGGAATGAAATGGAACGGAATGGAATCGAATGTAATGGAATGAGATTGAATGGACTCAAATGGAATGGAATGGCATGGTCTCAAATGGAATGGAATGGCATGGTCTAGAATGGAATGCAATTGAATGGACTCAAATGGAATGGAATGGAATTGACTCGAATGGAATTGAATGGAATGGACTGGAATGGAATTAAGTGTAATGGAATGGACACGAATGAAATGGACTCGAATGGAATGGAATAGAATGGAATGGAATGGAATGGAATGATTTCAAATCGAATGACATGGAATGGACTCGAATGGAATGGGTTGGGATTGGATGGTCTCAAATAGAATGGAATGGAATGGACTCAAATGGAATGGAATGGAATAGAATGGACTCGAATATAATGGAATGGATTTGGCTCGAATGGAATGGAATGGATTTGAGTGGAATGGAATGGACACGAATGGAATAGAATGGAATGGACTCAAATGGAATGGAAAGGAATGGACTCAAATGGAATAGAGTGGAATGGAATGGACTCGAATGCGATGAAGTTGAATGGACTCGAACGGAATGGAATGGACTCCAGTGGAATGGAATGGAATGGTATGGTCTCAAATGGAATGGAATGGAAAGGAACGCATTCAAATGGAATAGAATGGAATGGATTCGAATCTAATGGAGTGGAATGGAATGGACTCGAATGGAATGGAGTATAATGGAATCGAAAGGAATGGAATGGAATTTAATGGACTCGAATGGAAAGGAATGGAATTGAATGGAATCAAAAGGAATGGAAGGGAATGGAATGGAATGGACTCGAATGGAATGGAATGGAATGAACTCGAATGGAAGGGAATGGACTCGAATGGAATGGAATGGAATGGACTCAAATGGAATGGAAGGACTCGAATGGAGTGCAGCCGAATGGATTTGAATGGAATGGAATGGAATGGAATTGAATGGAATGAACTCGAATGGAATGGAATGTAATGGAATGAAATGGACTCAAATGGAATGGCATGGAATGGACTCGATGGAATGGAATGGCATAAAATGGAATGAAATGTACTCGAATGGAATGCAGTTCAATTGAATGTACACAAAAGGAATGGAATGGAATGGAATGGAATGGAATGGACGGACTCAAATGAAATGGAATGGACCCGAAAGGAATGGAATGGAATAGAATCAACTCGAGTGGAATGGAATGGAATGGACTCGAATGAAATGGAATGCAGTGGAATGGACTCAAATGAAATGGAATGCAGTGGAATGGACCGGAATGGCATGCAATGGAATGAAATAAACTCGAATGGAATGGAATGGACTCGAATACAAGGGAATGGAATGGACACGAATGGAAAGGAACGTAATGGAAGGGAACAGAATGGAACAGAATGGATTGGAATAGAACGGAATGAAATGGAGTGGATGCAAATGGAATGGAATGGAATGGACTCGAATGGAATAGAATGGAATTTACTGGATTGGAATCTAACGGAATTGACTCTAATGAAATGGAATGGAATGGACTCAAATGGAAGTGAACAGAAAGGAATGGATTCGAATGGAATGGAATGGACTCAAATGGAATGGAATGGAGTTGAATGCAATAGAATGGAATGGAATGGAATGGACTCGAATGAAAAGGAAAGATATGGAGTCGAATGGAATGGAATGGAATGGAATAACTCAAAAGGAATGGAATGGAATGGACTCAAGCGGAATGGAATGGACTCGAAAGCAATAGAATGGAATGGAATGGACTCGAATGGAATGGACAGGAATGGAATGGAATGGAATAGAATGGACTGTAATGGAATGGAATGGGATAGAATGGAATGGAATGGACTTGAATGGAATAGAATGGAAAGGAATGGAATGGACTCGAATGATATGGAATAGAAAGGACTCGAATGGAATGGAATGGACTCTAGTGGAATAGAATGCAATAGAATGGACTCGAATGGAATGGAGTGGAATGGATTCGAACGGAATGGAATGGAATTCAATGGATTTGAGTCAAACGGAATGTAATGGTATGGAATGGACTCGAATGGAATGGAATGGAATGGAATAGAATGGAAAGGAATAAAATGGAATGGAATAGAATGGAATGGATTGGAATGGAATGGAATGGACTCAAACGCAATGGAATGTACTCAAATGGAATGGAATGGAATGCAATGGAATGGACTCGAATGGAATAGAGTGGAATTTACTGGATTGGAATCTAATGGTATGGACTCTAATGCAATGGAATGAAATGGACTCGATAGGAATAGAGTGGAATGGAATGAACTCGAATGGAATGGAATGGACATGAAAGGTATGGAATGGAATGGGATGGAATGGAATGGACTGGAATGGAAGGGAATAGAATGCAGTGGAATGGAACAGAATAGACTTGAGTAGAATAGAATGGAATGGAAAGGAAAGGACTCAAATTAAATGGAATATAAAGGACTGAAATGCAATGGAATAGAATGGAATGGAACGGAAACGACTCGAGTGGAATGGAATGGAATGGAATGGAATGCACTCGAATGGAATGGAATGGAATGCACTCGAATGGAATGGAATGGACTCGAATGGAATGGAATGGAATAGAATGTAATGCAATGGAATGGAATGGACTCGAATGCAATGGAGTGGAATGGACTCGAATGTAATGGAAAGGAATTAAATGGACTGAAATCGACTGGAATGCAATGGACTCGAATGGAATGGAATGAAAAGGACACGAATGGAATGGAATGGAATGGAATGGAGTGGAATGCAATGGGATGGTATGGTATGGATTGGGATGGACTTGAATGGAATAGAAAGGGATGGAATGGAATGAATTTAAAAAGAATGGAATGGAATGGAATCCAATGGAATGGAAAGGCCACGAATTGAATGGAATGGAAAGGAACGGACTCGAATGGAATAGATTGGAATTTAGTGGAATGGACTCTGATGGAATAGAATGCAATGGAATCGAATGGAAAGGAATTTAAAGGACTCGAATGGAATAGAATGTATTTGAAAGGAATGGAATGGAATCGAAAAGACTTGAGTGGAATGAAATGGAATGGAATGGAATAGAATGTAGTGGAATGGGAGTGAATGGACTCGAATGGAATGGAGTGGAATGGAATGGCATGGACTCGAATGGAATGGAATGGAATGCAATTTAATGGACTCAAATGGAATGGAATGGAATTGACTCAAATGGAATTGAATAGAATGGACCGGAATGGAATTAAGTGTAATGGAATGGACACGAGTGATATGGAATGCAATGCACTCGAATGGAATGGAATGGAATGGAATGGAACGATTTCGAATTGAATGACATGGAATGGACTCGAATGGAATGGGTTCGGATTGGATGGTCTCAAATGGAATGGAATGGAATGGACTTAAATGGAATGGAATGGAATAGAATGGACTCGAATGGAATGAAATGGACTCCAGTGGAATGGAATGGAATGGTATGGTCTCAAATGGAATGGAACGGATTCAAATGGAATAGAAAGGAATGGACTAGATTCTAATGGAGTGCAATTGAATGGACTCGAATTGAATGGAGAGTAATGGAATCGAGTGTAATGGAATGTAATTTAAAGGACTCGAATGGAATGGAATGGAATGGACCCAAAAGGTATGGATTGGAATGGAATGGAATGGACTCGAATGGAATGGAATGGAATGGACTCGAAGGGAATGGAAGGGACTCCAATGGAATGGAATTGAAAGGAATCCGCTCGAGTGAAACGGAATGGAATGGAATGGAATGCACACGAATGGAATGGAATGGAATTGACTCGAATGGAATAGAAAGGAATGGACTCGAATGGAATGAAATAGAATGCAATAGACTCGAATGGAATGGAGTGGAATGGACCCGAATGGAAAAGAATGGAATGGAGTCGAATGGAATGACGTGGAATGGAATGGACAAGAATGGAAAGGAATGGAATGGAATGGAATGGAACGGAACAGAATGGAACGGAACATAATGGAATGAAATGGCCTCGAATGGAATGGAAAGCAATGGAATGGACACGAATGAAATAGAATGGAACTGAAAAGAATGGAATGGACTCCAATGGAAAGCAATTGAATTGAATAGACTCGAAAGGAATGGAATGGAATGGAATGGAGTGGAGTGATATGGACTGGAATGGAATAGAATGGAATGGAATGGAATGGAATGGCATCGAATGGAATTGAATGGAAAGCAATGGAATGGACTCAAATGGAATAGAATGGAATTGACTCGATTGGAATAGAATGGAATGGAATGGACGCTAAAGGAATGGAATGGAATGGACATGAAACGTATGGAATGGAATGGGATGGAATGGAATGGACTGGAATAGAAGGGAATGGAATGGAGTGGAATGGAACGGAATGGACTTGAATGGAATAGAATGGAATGGAATAGAATGGACTCGAATGAAATGGAATGGAAAGGACTTGAATGCAATGGAATGGATTCTAATGGAATGGAATGGAATGGAATGGAATGCAACGGAATGGACTCAAGTGGAAAGGAATAGAATGGACTCGAATGGAATAGAATGGAATGGAATGGAATGTACTCGAATGGAATGGAATTGAATGGACACGAATGGAATGGAAGGAAGTGGAATGGAATGGAATGGAATGGAATGGAGTGGAATGGAAAGGAATGGACTTCGATTGAATATAAAGGAGTGGAATGGAATGGACTCGAATGAAATGGAATGGAAAGGACTTGAATGAAATGGAATGGACTCGAATGGAATGTAATGGATTGGAATGGAGTCGAATGGAATGGAATGGAATGGACTAAAGAGGAATGAAATGGAATACACTCGAATGGAATATAATGGAAAGGAATGGGCTCGAATGGAATGGAATGGAATGGACACAAATGGAATGGAATGGAGTGGAATGGAATGGACTGGAATGGAATGGAACGGACTGGAATGGAATGGAATGGACTAGAATGGAATAGAATGGAATGGAAGGGAGTGCACTCGAATGAAATGGAATGGAATGGACTCGAATGGAATGGAATGGACACGAGTGGAATGGAATGGATTCGAGTGGAATGGAATGGAAAGTAATCGAATGGAATTTAATGGAATGGAATGGAATGGAATGGAATGGACTCGGATGGAATGGAGTGGAATGGATTTGAATGGAATTGAATGGACTCGAGTCGAACGGAATGTAATGGTAAGGAATGGACTCGAATGGAATGGAATGGAATGGAGTGAAAGGGACTCGAATGGAATGGAATGGAATGGAGTGAAAGGGACTCGAATGAAATGGAATGGACACGAGTGAAATGGAATGGAAAGGACTCGAATGCAATGGAATGGACTCGAATGGAATGGAACGGAATGGACTCAAGTGGAATGGAATTGAATAGACTGGAATGGAATAGAAAGGAATGGAATGGAATGTACTCGAAAGGAATGGAATTGAATGGACACGAATGGAATGGAATGGAGTGGAATGGAATGGAATGGAATGGAGTGGAATGGAATGGAATGGAATGGAGTGGAATGGAATGGAATGGAATGGAGTGGAATGGAAAGGAATGGAATTGAATGGAATAGAATGGAGTGGAATGGAATGGACTCGAATGAAATGGAATGGAAAGGACTTGAATACAATGGAATGGACTCGAATGGAATGTAATGGATTGGAATGGTATCGAATGGAATGGAATGGAATAGACTCGAATGGAATAAAATGGAAAGGAATGGGCTCGAATGGAAGGGAATGGAATGGACACGAATGGAATGGAATGGAGTGAAATGGAATGGATTGGAATGGAATGGAATGGAATGGAATGGAATGCACTTGAATAGAATGGAATGGAATGGAATAAAGGGAACGGAATGGATTAGATTCGAATGGAATATAATGGAAAGGAACGGGCTCGAATGGAACGGAATGGAATGGACATGAATGGAATGGAATGGAATGGAATGCACTTGAATGGAATAGAATGGAATGGAATGAACTCGAATGGAATGGAATGGACACGAGTGAAATGGAATGGAATGGACTCGAATGGAATGGAATGGAATGCACTCGAATTGCATGGAATGGGATGTAATGGACTCGAATGGAATGGATTGTAAAGGACCCAAATGGAATAGAATGGAATGGCATGAAATAGAATGGACTCGAATGGAATGGAATGGAATGCACTCAAGTGGAATGGAATGGAATGGACACGAATGGAATTGCATGAAATGGAATGGACTCTAATGGAATGGAATGGAATGGACATGAATGGAATGCAATGGAATTGAAAGGAATGGACTGTAATGGAATGGAAAGGAATGGAGGAAAGGAATGGAAAAAAGGAATGGAGTGAAATGGAATGGACTCGAATGGAATGGAAAGGACTCGAGTGGAATGGAATGGAATGGATTTGACTCGAATGGAATAGAGTGGAATGGATTCGAATGGAATGGAATGGAATAACTCAAAAGGAATGGAATGGAATGGACTCAAACGGAATGGAATGGACTCGAAAGCAATAGAATGGAATGGAATAGACTCGAATGGAATGGAATGGAATGGACAGGAATGGAATGGAATGGAATAGAATGGACTGTAATGGAATGGAATGGGATAGAATGGAATGGAATGGACTTGAATGGAATAGAATGGAAAGGAATGGAATGGACTCGAATGATATGGAATAGAAAGGACTCGAATGGAATAGAATGGACTCTAGTGGAATGGAATGCAATAGAATGGACTCGAATGGAATGGAGTGGAATGGATTCGAACGGAATGGAATGGAATTCAATGGATTTGAGTCAAACGGAATGTAATGGTATGGAATGGACTCGAATGGAATGGAATGGAATGGACTCGAATGGAACAGAATGGAATAGAATGGAATGGAATGGAAAGGAATAAAATGGAATGGAATAGAATGGAATGGAATGGACTCAAACGCAATGGAATGTACTCAAATGGAATGGAAGGGAATGCAATGGAATGGACTCGAATGGAATAGAGTGGAATTTACTGGATTGGAATCTAATGGTATGGACTCTAATGCAATGGAATGGAATGGACTCGAATGGAATAGAATGGAATGGAATGAACTCGAATGGAATGGAATGGACATGAAAGGTATGGAATGGAATGGGATGGAATGGAATGGACTGGAATGGAAGGGAATGGAATGGAGTGGAATGGAACAGAATGGACTTGAATGGAATAGAATGGAATGGAAAGGAAAGGACTCAAATTAAATGGAATGTAAAGGACTGAAATGCAATGGAATGGAATGGAATGGAATGGAAACGACTCGAGTGGAATGGAATGGAATGGAATGGAATGCACTCCAATGGAATGGAATGGAATGGACTCGAATGGAATGGAATGGAATGGAATGGAATGGAATGGAATGGAATGGAATAAAATGGAATGGAATAGAATGGAATGGATTGGAATGGAATGGAATGGACTCAAAAGCAATGGAATGTACTCAAATGGAATGGAATGGAATGCAATGGAATGGACTCGAATGGAATAGAGTGGAATTTACTGGATTGGAATCTAATGGTATGGACTCTAATGCAATGAAATGGAAGGACTCGAATGGAATAGAATGGAATGGAATGAACTCGAATGGAATGGAATGGACATGAAAGGTATGGAATGGAATGGGATGGAATGGAATGGACTGGAATGGAAGGGAATGGAATGCAGTGGAATGGAACAGAATGGACTTGAATGGAATAGAATGGAATGGAAAGGAAAAGACTCAAATTAAATGGAATGTAAAGGACTGAAATGCAATGGAATGGAATGGAATGGAAACGACTCGAGTGGAATGGAATGGAATGGAATGGAATGGAATGCACTCGAATGGAATGGAATGGAATTGAGTTGAATGGAATAGAAAGGAATGGAGTCGAATGGAATGGAATGGAATGGACTCAAATGCAATGGAGTGGAATGGACTCGAATGTAATGGAAAGGAATTAAATGGACTGGAATCGACTGGAATGCAATGGACTCGAATGGAATGGAATGAAAAGGACACGAATGGAATGGAATGGAATGGAATGGAATGGAATGGAATGGAATGGAATGCAATAGGATGGTATGGTATGGATTGGGATGGACTTGAAAGGAATAGAAAGGGATGGAATGGAATGAATTTAAAAAGAATGGAATGGAATGGACTCCAATGGAATGGAAAGGTCACGAATTGAATGGAATGGAAAGGAACGGACTCGAATGGAATAGATTGGAATTTAGTGGAATGGACTCTGATGGAATAGAATGGAATGGAATCGAATGGAATCGAATGGAAAGGAATTTAAAGGACTCGAATGGAATGGAATGTATTCGAAAGGAATGGAATGGAATCGAAAAGACTTGAGTGGAATGAAATGGAATGGAATGGAATAGAATGTAATGGAATGGGAGTGAATGGTATCGAATGGAATGGAGTGGAATGGAATGGCATGGACTCGAATGGAATGCAATTTAATGGACTCAAATGGAATGGAATGGAATTGACTCAAATGGAATTGAATAGAATGGACCGGAATGGAATTAAGTGTAATGGAATGGACACGAGTGATATGGAATGGAAGGGACTCGAATGGAATGGAATGGAATGGAATGGAATGGAATGATTTCGAATTGAATGACATGGAATGGACTCGAATGGAATGGGTTCGGATTGGATGGTCTCAAATGGAATGGAATGGAATGGACTTAAATGGAATGGAATGGAATAGAATGGACTCGAATGGAATGAAATGGACTCCAGTGGAATGGAATGGAATGGTATGGTCTCAAATGGAATGGAACGGATTCAAATGGAATAGAAAGGAATGGACTAGAATCTAATGGAGTGCAATTGAATGGACTCGAATTGAATGGAGTGTAATGGAATCGAGTGTAATGGAATGTAATTTAAAGGACTCGAATGGAATGGAATGGAATGGACCCAAAAGGTATGGATTGGAATGGAATGGAATGGACTCGAATGGAATGGAATGGAATGGACTCAAATGGAACGGAAGGGACTCCAATGGAATGGAATTGTAAGGAATCCACTCGAGTGAAACGGAATGGAATGGAATGGAATGCACACGAATGGAAAGGAATGGAATTGACTCGAATGGAATAGAAAGGAATGGACTCGAATGGAATGAAATAGAATGCAATGGACTCGAATGGAATGGAGTGGAATGGACCCGAATGGAAAAGAATGGAATGGAGTCGAATGGAATGAAGTGGAATGGAATGGACAAGAATGGAGAGGAATGGAATGGAATGGAACAGAACGGAACAGAATGGAACGGAACGTAATGGAATGAAATGGCCTCGAATGGAATGGAATGCAATGGAATGGACATGAATGAAATAGAATGGAACTGAAAAGAATGGAATGGACTCCAATGGAAAGCAATTGAATTGAATAGACTCGAAAGGAATGGAATGGAATGGAGTGGAGTGATATGGACTGGAATGGAATAGAATGGAATGGAATGGAATGGAATGGAATGGAATGGAATGGCATCGAATGGAATTGAATGGAAAGCAATGGAATGGACACAAATGAAATAGAATGGAATTGACTCGATTGGAATAGAATGGAAAGGAATGGACGCTAATGGAATGGACATGAAACGTATGGAATGGAATGGGATGGAATGGAATGGACTGGAATAGAAGGGAATGGAATGGAGTGGAATGGAACGGAATGGACTTGAATGGAATAGAATGGAATGGAATAGAATGGACTCGAATGAAATGGAATCGAAAGGACTCGAATGCAATGGAATGGATTCGAATGGAATGGAATGGACTCGAATGGAATGCAACGGAATGGACTCAAGTGGAAAGGAATAGAATGGACTCGAATGGAATAGAATGGATTGGAATGGAATGTACTCGAATGGAATGGAATTGAACGGACACGAATGGAATGGAAGGAAGTGGAATGGAATGGAATGGAATGGAATGGAAAGAAATGGAATGGAATGGAGTGGAATGGAAAGGAATGGACTTGGATTGAATAGAAAGGAGTGGAATGGAATGGACTTGAATGAAATGGAATGGAAAGGACTTGAATGAAATGGAATGGACTCGAATGGAATGTAATGGATTGGAATGGAGTCGAATGGAATGGAATGGAATGGACTAAAGAGGAATGAAATGGAATACACTCGAATTGAATATAATGGAAAGGAATGGGCTCGAATGGAATGGAATGGAATGGACACAAATGGAATGGAATGGAATGGAATGGAATGGAATGGAATGGAATGGACTGGAATGGAATGGAATGGAATGGACTAGAATGGAATAGAATGGAATGGAATGGAGTGCACTCGAATGAAATGGAATGGAATGGACTCGAATGGAATGGAATGGACACGAGTGGAATGGAATGGATTCGAATGGAATGGAATGGAAAGTAATCGAATGGAATTTAATGGAATGGAATGGAATGGAATGGACTCGAATGGAATGGAGTGGAATGGATTTGAATGAAATGGAATGGAATTGAATGGACTCGAGTCGAACGGAATGTAATGGTAAGGAATGGACTCGAATGGAATGGAATGGAATGGAGTGAAAGGGACTCGAATGAAATGGAATGGACACGAATGAAATGGAATGGAAAGGACTCGAATGCAATGGAATGGACTCGAATGTAATGAATGGAATGGAATGGACTCGAATGGAATGGAATGGACTCAAGTGGAATGGAATTGAATGGACACGAATGGAATTGCATGAAATGGAATGGACTCTAATGGAATGGAATGGAATGGACACGAATGGAATGGAATGGAATTCAAAGGAATGGACTGTAATGGAGTGGAAAGGAATGGAGGAAAGGAATGGAAAAAAGGAATGGAGTGGAATGGAATGGACTCGAATGGAATGGAAAGGACTCGAGTGGAATGGAATGGAATGGATTTGACTTGAATGGAATAGAGTGGAATGGATTCGAATGGAATGGAATGGAATGGAATGGACTCAAGTCGAACGGAATGTAATGGTAAGGAATGGACTCGAATTGAATGGAACGGAATGAAAGGGACTCGAATGAAATGGAATGGAATGGAATGGAATGGACTCGAATTTAATGCAATGGAATGGAATGGAAGGGAATGGACTCAAATTGTATGGAATGGAACTGAATGGACTCGAAAGGAATGGAATGGAATGGAATGGACTCGAAAGGAATGGAATGGAATGGAATGGAATGGAATGGAATGGAATGGAATGGAATGGAATGGAATCGAACGGAAGGGAATGGAATGGACTCCAATGGAATGGAATGGTCTCGAAAGTAACTGAAAGGAACGAAAACGACTCGAGTGGAATGGAATGGAATGGAATGGACTCTAATGGAATTGAATAGAATGGAATGGACTCGAATGGAATAGAATGGAATTGACACGAATGGAATTGAAGGGAATGGACCCGAATGGAATGGAATGGACTTCAATTGAATGCAGTGGAATTCATTGGGTTCAAATGGAATGGAATGGAATGGAAAAGAATGGAATGGAGTAGAATTTAATGGGATTGAATGGAATGGACTTGAATCGAATGGAATGGAATGGACTCAAATGGAATAGCATTGATTGGAATGGAATGACATTGAATGGATTCAAATGTTTAAGGAAAAAATAATCTTAGCAGTCCATGTTGAGTGAACATTTCAATCCATGTAAAGGCGAAGGTCAGCTGCCACCATGCCATGCAAACCTTATAGTACGTGACATGTTAAATCAGTAACCTCAAAAGGGACTTCTGAGAAGCTATGAGTAAAAGGCACACACAAAATGCCTCTGAGATAGATTCACAAATGAAATGGAAAACGATATCTGTGTATATCCAAGAATAATAGTAATTATTAGAAAACAAGAAAACTTCTAAATTGAAAGAATCCCTAAAGTAAAAGTAGACCAAAGAAAAAGAAATAAAGATGAGAAGTGAGATGAGGCAGAAATGGTGAGCGACAAGGAGACATACTGAGAAAAAAAGTAGCTAAAGACAGTGTGTTATTATTTCAGCAAAATTAAGTATATCAATACTGAGAAATATGGCTTGAAATAGATTCAGTACCTCAGGCAGAAACATAAACAAATAACATCTGGCTTTTTCTTTTGATAACCAGTATTTTAAATACAAAAATCTAAAAATATTATCTTTGTGTAAGAGTTACACATTTATCATTCCAGTCCTCAGGGTGCATTGTTTCCAACTAAACAGTAATCATTTCAATAACAAAAGTGCGCTATAATACTGTATGGAAATAAATGTCCTAACAGATGCTAACCAGACATCAGTCTTCACTGGTAAGGACTAGATTTGAAGGTGTTTGCAGATAATTAAAACTTGTTTTCATAACATAACTTAGCAGCTAAGTAGTATAATGAAAATGGGATATTCAAATTACAAGATATAAAATATTAAAGATAGAAGAACATGTTTATTTTTTCAATATACATGTTGTTACAGCTCAGAGAAACAGTATGAAATCTCAGGGCTCATGAAAGGCCACATTCTAGAGATAGTGATTGACAGGTATGGCAATTCCCCTACAGCGTGCTGCCTGTTGTCATGGAGTAGCATGTCTCTTACAGGGTACTACCAGAAGGCTCAAGTAGGAAGAGCCAATAGTCCATGTGAGAAACCACGGAAGGCTAAAGATAGAAGGAAATATTTGGGCCACTATGAAGAGCAAGTTCACCAGGTGAATTGGCATGTGGCTAGGGTACAACTTCCCATACCTACATAAATAATGAAGCAGTAAAAAAATTAAGTTATCAGAGAAGTATTTTATTATTATTAGAGTCATGATTAGCATTCTCCTCACCAGGAGAGTTTTATGTTTTTTTCTAGCCCTACTCTATACTTTTTAAACACTGTCTCCAATTTTGAAAATAAAAGTTTCTTATTTTTAATTCAACTCTCAATTAAAATAAAACAAAAACCAAAAATGTAGAAGTTCTTTATTTTGACCATCTATATATCATACACAACAAAAAGACTGATAAAATTCCACCAAACACAACAGCTAGATCCTTATTCCCGTTAATGCTTAAGCCCATTCCAATAAGGATTTTCTACCAAATCTGCCCTTGCCAAGGTTACCCAGGGCCTTCATTTTATTATTTGCAATGGACAATTTGAACTTCACATCCGTGTTGGTTTCCTTACATCCTAGATGCACATACGGCCAGACCAGATTTTTCCCATCAGATGTGATTTGATCTTCCAACTTTGGAATGCCTTGACGACTTCCTCTTTATCTAAAGATCACTTTAAAAAGCCTGAAGTATTTGGCTCTTCCCTAAATCTTTGGCCAGATGCAATGTCATCCTCCCATTGGCTTTCTTTGTCCAAACTACATTAGCCTTATCTCAGATCTTCAAACAAGTTATATTTCCTGCCTAAGATGTTTGTATGAGTGAGTGAAAGTCTGATGAAGATAGTTCCTTTTTACCCCCAAAGGTTTTATTGATCATGCTGATAATGAATTTATTGTTATTTTAATCTCTTACTGTTATACTCAGGCTTAAATTCTCTACCCTATACACTTCAGTTGACATAATTTTAATTTCCACTCTGATGCTTCTCTCTTTTCTATCAACACTCTCTCCCCACAGGGTTTCTTCTAGATCAGGAGTCAGCAACATTTTTGACAAAGAGCCAGACAGTAAATAGTGCAGGCTTTGTGTTGCCAAGAGGCAAATTTATGGAACTTTCCCTGCTGAAAAATTTCCCTATATTTTACATTTTAGACTTATAAATGATACACGTACTTATAACTCATGAGCCACACAAAAACAGGCAGAAGACCAGATCTGGCTCATGGGCTATAATAGTTTGCCAACCCCTCACCTAGATTCATGACTTTAGGCATGATCTATAGGCTACGATTATCTAACTCACATCTCTAGCAAAGTCAACTTGTCAGTGCCTACTTGATGTCTCCACTTGGATTCTAACTAGCGTCTTAATTTAAGATTAAAAAAATGTAAAATCAATCACACATATGCACCTACCCACACCTCTGTCACTTGCAAACTGCCTCATGTCATCAAGATGTTGCCATATCACTAAAAGTGACCATAATCCCCCATGTCCCTAAATCCAAATACCTTGATATAATTCTTGCTCAGTAAATTCAATCATCTTCAAATCAACTTCCAATCTCAACTGATTTTCTCCAACTTTATTGCTACAATCATAATCCCAACCACCATCATCCTTCAACTGGACAGGTGCTAAATGAACCCCTTCCTTCACTACTGTACCCTTCCACAATAGTACACCCTCCTAAGAGCTAACCTCATCATATCACATATCCATCATACACTTTTCAATGTAGTTAATTTATATTCACACTTTGATATAAGATCTAAATTTGGTCCCTGAGGGCACTCATGTAATATCTCTCCATGCTCTTCCTTCATGGACATTTTAGCCAAACCGGCCTTCTTTTCTTTGTAAGAAACTATCAAGCTGTCTTTTTAAATTACAGAATTTTATATCTTCCTTTCTTTCCACTCAGAGCACCCCAGATCTTCAAAGTACCTTCCTATTTGTCTCCACTCAACTCCCAAATGAAATATTACCTCCTCAGAGAGAAAAATTCTCTGAAATACCTATAGCCTGATCAGTGCCTTCCTACTTGCCAGTTTTACTCAACCATGTTATCACATGTAATCGTCTTCATAGTAGTGTACCTTATAGCCCTTCACACCATTGCTTTGTTTAGGTATTTGTATGTCTTCATCCTCTTTCCCTCCTCACTACAGCATAGCCAATTGTGTCTTTGCCTTCTTCACTGCTATATCCCCTAGTGCCTGGTAGGCGTTCTATAAATAGCCATTTATTGACTTATTGACTACATGTATATGCTAATCCTTTTTACTAATTTGTGTTATACTATATATTTCTCTTCTCTCTCTCTTTGCTTCCCTCTCTTCTCATGTCCCTTGATGCTTCCTACTCAATATTAACATGTGCATCATTTTGTGTTTCAGCATTTCTGTTTTCATTATATTATGATAGGTTAATTTTCCTAAGAAGACACTATTTTGACAAAAGCAAAGCATTAAAGTAAAGCAGCATAAGATCAATTTTTTCCTGGTAGAAGGAAACACCATCTTTCCAAGAAGACAATTCTGCCAGGAAACAAAACAAACCAAAACATTTCTGGTAAGTCCTAGTTCCCAAGACTTGAAGCCAGTATGTTTTTCCACTTTCAAGTATCCTTGACTGTAGAGATAAAAGGTATCCACTTAGAGATATTAACTCATTAGCACTGCCTAAATTTGGGTTCCAGAAACACAACTTAATATGAAATCAATGGATGTGATAATCATTTGAAAGTAGCTTTATCAAAATCATCCGACAGAACAAGTTACTTTTCTAATTAGCATCTTCAGTTAAATACCTAAATCTGATGAATAATAAGTTATGCATTATGCTAAATTGCATTGGCTCACTATTCTAGAATGCTTTCAAATTAATTAAAAATGAGATATTCAGTAATGAGAAATATAAAAAGATAACCTATTTCAATCAGTTTAAATTAGAATTTAACATTTCTTCAATACACTATTTTGTAGTCAATTGCAAGAGTAATAAAGCAAAATTATTGAGTCTTTAATAGTGACCATTCAAAATTCATAATGAATTATTAGAAAGAAAACTAAGGTCCCTACCAACTTTCCACCTCACTTCAAACCATAGCCAAGGTCCTTACAACAGCAAGTAAGACTCCACACAATTCCCACTTCTTTACCTCTATTCTGTTACTTCTGGAATCTTCTACTACTCCAAATTGTGTGTTTTGCTCCAGACTCAGCAGTTCTCACTACCTTGTTCTTCCAATTGCCATCTTCTCTGTGTGGCCTTTCTTGACTCTCCAGTTAAAAATTACCCTATCAAAATTATCTGATCCCCATCCAGGATTACGTTTCACCATCTAACTTACGATACTTCACATATTTATGTGGCTCACTGTCTGTTATCTGTCTCCCTAAGTTAGAATGTGAGCTTCATGATGGCAGAGTTTGGGTCAATTTCCTTCACTCAATAATTCCTGACCCAAAGTAAACACTTCATAAGTATTTTTTGAATATACAAATATATAATACAAATTATCAAGGAGCTTATAAATAAGTAAAGACACAAACCAGCATTATAGTGCAGTTTGAGAAATATCAATATTGTGGTATAGGAGGAGGTATGTAAACTATTAGAAGCAACAGTTAAATAAGAAGCAATTCAGAAAGACACACAGTGTGGGTGATATCTGAGTTAAAGGACAGAAAGTAAGAAGATAACCAGATGGAGAAAAGAGAGGAAGATCTTACAAACAAGCATCAGAAGTTACCATAAGAAAAGCAAGTACAAAATAATCGTAAGAAAAACAATTGCATCCCAATTATTATAACAAACATAATTAACTATGAAAACCCAAAACAGTTCATGCTTTGATAATGCTAAAGTTGATAAGTAGATTAAGATGTGATAGAATAATCTGTAAATCTTAATGCTTCCTAACTTTTGAGAAAACATTTTTAGGCAAGATATGCTGATTTAAGGAAGAAAAGTTGCTAATGGATGAGGCATGTCCCTTAAAGACAAACACTATGAACACTGTGTACAGCCTTTATAATGCAAAGGTGCCAGGTTTTTTTTTTTAAGTCCTTGGAATCTCAGTTGGCAACTTTGAAATTCATGTGTTATTCATGAGTTTTTTAAAAGAAATGTAATAAGTAACACAAGTGATTCTAGAGCTTGTCTTTAGGCTGAGGTAGATATTGGCATTATAAGTTGAAGTGTTAGAAAGGAACAATAAGAATTAAGAATAAGCAGTAATTTCTGCCAAGATCTGTGGCACCCAGTCTCACACATAAGGCTTTTTGGAATTTCTTGGTTTCCAAGGTTCAGGCTCTCATGCTTTAGTTTGTACATAAAGGACTTAAGTTATTCTTAAAGCACAGTTTTAGCACTTCATACCAGGAGATGGTTATGAGACTGATCACAGGTTAAAGTGAAATAGGATGTGTGCCTGCTTGTAGAAGGAACCTCTTTCCTTCTGCCATTCTATTTCTACTTTTCTGGCAGGAAAGTCCTAGAAAACATTTCATATACAGATTAATTTTAAACAATTTACATTATATTTTACTATTATTCGCTTCTAGAATATCTTAGCTTAGGCTGGCCCTGGTGGCTCACACTTGAAATCCCAGCACTTTGGGAGACTGAAGTGGGTGGATCACCTGAACTCAGGAGTTTGAGACTAGCCTAGCCTAGCCAACATGGTAAAACCTAGTCTCTACTAAAAATCCAAAAATTAGCTGGGTGTGGTGATGCGTACCTGTAATCCCAGCTACTCGGGAGGCTGAGGGAGGAGAACCATTGAGCCTGGGAGGTGGAGGCGGCAGTGAGCCAAGATTGTGTCACTGCACTCCAGCCTGGGCAACAGAGCAAGACTCTGTCTCAAAAAAACAAAAAACAAACAAACAAACAAACAAACAAATCTTAGCTTATATATTTCTCACATCTGATCCTACCACTTTACTTCTTTTTTCCTGTTTATGCCAATTATTTCTATTCATCTTTACATATAGGCAGAGAGATATGACTAAAATGCGTCATAGACAATGACATCTACTAAATTTACCTATTCTTCATGTTGAATTCCACAACAGATTTCAAATACAACCAAAATCTCCAAATGAAATCTTAATTCTAAATTGAGTGCTTGTAGTCTTCAAATATGTTCAAATAGAACATCAAAGCTCAATAAAAATAGTTATACCACTTGGGATGGTATTTAAAATATTTTTCCTAAATAAATTCAGCTTCAGAGGATGAGAAAACCTTCATTAGGAGTTGTATCTTACAGGACAAATTAAGTTAAATAAATGTGAAAGAAATCATACTTTATTATGTTGAATAGTAAGATACTTTGTGTTACTATTGTGAATTAATGCCATCCAAATATTGAGTGATGTAATTCAATTTAGTAAAAGAAAAAAGTCTAAATTATCAACTTCTTTCCTTATAAAAATGAAATATGCTATAACTTGCATTGTTTCCATGGCAATGACCCTGATGATCAGAAAGAGAGGTTAAAACATAAAAACATTTAAAATCATCTAATCTAAATTATAAAAAAGAAATCCCCTTCTTCAGAAAAAATAATTTTTTAAGGAAGCACTCAAAAACAAATCTCTACTAGTAGATACACAGCATACACATCTCTTACTATCTCCCATGCAGACTGCATAAAAAGGCTTGCTGACTACTTTTAAGAAAACAACATTCAGATGTCTGGAAAGTATCTGAAATGCATGATTAATCTACACAGATAATTTTCTCAAGAAACTAAATTTTGAAGACAAGTAATTCAAAAGTATATTGTCTTTAAAGTAAATCCACTGGTATTCTTAAACTGCTGTAATACTTTCTCTGTTTACCTTATAGTGTGAACCTCTCAAGCTATGGGAATGCATGTAATCTCTAAGAATAGCTGACTTCTTTTGTAGGAAAAAGCTGTTAGAAATGACTGTTAGGATTTCAAATGTTTGGGAGTGTGTATTCATGTGGGTTTTATGTGTTGAATATTTGCATTTATAATTTTAAGGTGCTTAAATCCAAAACTAAAATGACCCATGTAACATAATTCTGCCATAGGATAAATTAAATTCAATTAATTTTTTCCATACAAATTATTATCTACCACAATGTAAAAATATTTATATATCATAAAGATGTAAGAAACACTGACTTCTGTAATACAGCAGAGTTCAATTTCACTGCTACTTAGCTTGATGATATTTTAAGGTCATGTCTCTTGGAATACACATTCAATATTCATTGCCAAATGTCTGAGCTCACCTCTCTTGAAGCCATATTCAATTATCAAATGAAAATAATTTACCAAGCAACCTCACAAAACACAAACTCTAGGTAGCATTAAGGTTTTTCAAAGTGATTATTCCTTACTGGTAGTGATCCTAAGATATTAAAACTCATAGATCACATGATCTGAGATTTTCTAATTGAAAAGCTGTAGCTGTAAACCTTTAATTCAAAGTCGGATACCACCTTCAGCTGTCAAAAGAATTACATAATCACTTAAATTTCTGGAATGAAAGAGAAAATGAAGAGAACAAAAAAAGTAACTTTGAAATGCACTGGGAAACAATTGGAAGGAACCAAATGGAGGCAAAGACAGAGAGAGAGGGCTGTTTATCTAACCTTTCCTTCTTGAGTAGGTTTTCTCTGATATCTCTAGAGAAAAATTGGACGTGTAACAATGAAATACAAAATACAAGATATTGTCTTGTTATAATTACTTGCAATGATTCCAAGATGGCAGAATTTGAGAACCTGCTAAATAGGACAACAAAGTGATCTGCTTTTCCAAAATTTTGCCCCTTAACTTAAATATTATTTCATGGTGAAGATCAATAAAACTGAAAATTGGAATTGCCAGATATTATCAGATTTTATTTTTTGAATGCTTAATAGCTGACCCAAAATCTGGTCATAAAAATGGAAGTTAAATTAAATTGTCCTCAAAATTTAAGTTTGCTACATTTGTAAGCACCACTTCCTTCTTCAAAATTTCAAACTTTCTCATATCTAGCAGCAACTTGAAATTAGGAATTTAAGCATGTAAATTCATCGTGGAAACCAAATTGATTAAAATTTTATGTGTATTCATGATAATGTTTAAAATTTTTGCTACATTTAAACCCTAAGTTAGTTACAAAAACTCTAAAATTATGCTTGTTTAAAAACTTGGGATAACTTGCTTTTGAAAACATACTGACATATTCATTCCATTCTTATAATTATTTTTGTATCACTCCCAAACAGCACACCATTGTATATGTCCCCAAAATGGCACTTCTTTGCTAAAGCCACTAAGACAGAAATACTTTTGAGCCAGATGCAATGGCTCATGCCTATAATCTCAGTACTTAGGGAGGCCTAGGTTAGAGGACTGCTTGAAGATAGGAGTTCGTGACCTGCCTGGGCAACATAGCAAGACCCAGTCTTTACAAATGAAATGAAAACAAAATATAAAATAAACTAGCTGGGCATAGTAGTGCACACCTGTGGTCATAGCTATCAGGAGGCTGAGATGAGAGGACCATATGAACCTAGGAGTTTGGGGCTGTGATGAGCTATGATTGCACCACCGCACCTCAGTCAGAACTACGGGTTGCTGAGTTAGAAATAAATTCTCAGTTCTGAATATAATAACTGCTCCTGACACTCCCCAGAATCCTGCAAATGAGCTGGGTTTTCTGGTGCCTCTCTATAGTCCCTCTTTCTCAGGAAATACCCCCATGGTTTTGCCTGCTGTGCTATTAATTACACCCATGCTTATTATATGTCAATTCAGTTTTATCTAGATTCTCCCGAAGTCAGTGCTGAACTTAGTTGTTTGAAAATGTATATATTGTAACAGTTACCAAAAAGACAAAATACAGCTAGATATTTATGCTATTTGTTTCATTTCTATCGTAGGTATATTTCCTTTTAAAATTCATATGTATCTTTCTCTAAGGATTGTCTCCATTTTCAGATGTTAAACACTTTCTCATGCACAAACCACCTAAGCAGCATAGACACAGAGTCCGTGTCAGGGAATGTTACATTCAGGATAGGCAACTATTATTCTGTAACTCAGAAGCAGGAAAATGGATGTCCTCAAGCAGATGCTTTTCTTGACAGATACAAAAAATTGACAAGGATCATTGACTTACTTCCAACCCACCATTCATCCCTTTTCTCTTATTTTGACCCTAAGGGTCCCAGAGGGATAATGGCCCTACATTGTTATTTAGAATTCAGATTTCAGACTGCATTTCTTATATCATTTTTTATAAGTAGTGGTTGCACACAGTTGAGAAAATACTATGATATTAATCTACATTCCTCGTTAAATTGATTTTTGTCTTCTATTTTTTTAGCTTAGGTACAATTTCTCACACGGTTTCTCAGGAAGGAACATTGGGATTTCCCAATGACTTAAACATTTAGAACATAGTCTATTCATATATATGAAGAGCTTGTGTAGAAAGTATAATTTACTTATACTATTACGCTTAAGAAATTATGTGAAATAATGTGAAAATAATCTTATAACATTTGCATGCATATTTGCTGCAAGAGTCATACTTCATTGATACTTAATCATAATCTTGGACATTGCGGGTTCCAATAACCAATATTTAATGCAAGACTGTAAACTTACTAGAGAGAAAACCTTATTTATAAATTTTCATGTATTCTTTTCTTGACAATAATAATGAGCTATGAGATTTGTATTTTAAAAGATACTTAGTAATAAAAACTTTAATTTTTAAAACTTTTATTTTTAAATTCTGCTTAATTGCATAAAAGTTAAAAGGTAATATTTAATATTTAATGAGGCTTATTGATCTAAATGATGATATGCAGCTTGGGTTATACTTGCAATTATAAGATTTGCTCATTACACCTAAGCAATCTCGTTAACTCAATCTAGCTACCACAAAGGAAGCAAAATTCCCTGAATGATAATATCAAAGCATTCCATTATGTTTTCTATTAAGTTGTTTTGTTCTTTGAATCATTGTCTATTTTAATTTATCCTTTTAGAAAGAAAACAAATTACTTAACTTTCATTTCCCACTAGAAGCTTCACTGCAGCTAGACTTGGAATTGATTTCAGGCCATTTTTTAATAAATGATGGTCCCCAGTGAAGGATAGAATATTTGAGCAATCAATACTGAGTAAATAAAAGGGTTTTTTGGGTAAATAAGAGAGAAGATACCTATTTTTTTCAAATATTTTAAATATTTAATAACCTATTCCTCATCTAAAACAAGCCACAATTACTGGAAATGATGGTCAGAGGAAGGTTTTATCAACCCTGTGTAATACTACACGTCATGTTGGATCACTATTACAGAGAAACAGTTGTCATGCTGCATTTTAGTAATTCTACACATTACCAGAGAAATGAACAACTCTTGTAGCCACAGAAACCCAATGTAGCTACTGTCTACATATTCTTGTTTTAGCAACCCTGTGTAATACTACACGTCATGTTGGATCACTATTACAGAGAAACAGTTGTCATGCTGCATTGTAATAACTCTACACATTACCAGAGAAATAAACAACTCTATAGCCACAGAAATCCAACATAGCTACTGTCTACATATTCTTGTTTTAGACCTTTGGTGAAAATACTATGTGTATTAAATATATTTTACATTAGTTTTATCACAAAAAATAAAAATGAGAATTCTATTAAATGCTAATATAAACTCTGGCATGAAAGAAAAATTAAAATCAAAGCTGATCTTAATTAACAAAATGTATTATCTGCTTACATGTATACACAACCATTCATATACAAAGGCACACATGCACTTGTGGTTTTGAAAAATATCTATTTCATTTCAAAAATTCATTGAACAATATTACATATGGCAAGAAAACTGCCCTTTTTGAAGGATCTTTTAAAAAGTGTTAAACTTTATTAGATACTTCAAACTAACAAAGCTCAACTTCATCACAATTATATAATAACACTGCACGCTTTCAATTTTATCTCTAGAAATATACCTATCCCTTGAAATAAACTCTGTGAACTTCCTGCTCACAGATTTCATTTCAAGCCTTGAAAATGCAGAAAATCAATGCCAAATATACTTGACCCAAAAGGAAAAGAAAATTTCAGGGGTGTCAGGATGTTTTATCACATAAAATACAGAATTGCAATTTGTATCTGAGCAGGCAACACACCTCCAAAAATAATACAATACTTATCACAAAATACATTCACAGATACTAGATTTGGCACAAACCACTCCATACAGCTATTGATCAACTCAATATTGAAAACCTTATTACAAAATCTATGGCCCTTTTCTACTCTCCAACAGACATTTCAGGATGCCACAAACTTGCAGCTCCACTCTATCATTAATTTCCCCTAAATACGCTTGACAGAAGAATGAGAAACGTCACGTTTTTTCATTTAATTTCCAAAGAACATCACATCCTTTAAGAATAGGTTCTTGAAATTTTAAAATGTAAAACATAAAAACCCTAAAGAAAAGAAACAAACATCCAAAAACTTTTCTTCAAAATCACAACAACTTTATATGCTACGTGTTCTTGTAAAATACCACACACACAAACTCACATGCATACCCACCCCCCCAAAACACACACACACACGTAGCCTCATAATACCATATATATATATTGACGTTTAAGCAATTTGTTGTAATCTTCCGCCAGGTTTTTGTTACAGGGTATTGTAATGCCTCTACACCAGTTAAATTGAAATAGAGTTAGGTGTGAGTAAATGCATCAAAATTGAAGCCATCTTTCCGAAAAATGCAGCATGACAACTGTTTCTCTGTAATAGTGATATATATATCTGGTGTATATATATATATTCATATATATATATTCATATACATATACTCATATATATATATTCATATACATATACATATATATTCATATACATATATATTCATATACATATATATACATATACATATATATATTCATATACATATATATATTCATATATATATTCATATATATACACACATATATATTCATATATATATACACATATATATACTCATATCTATACATATATATACTCATATCTATATTCATATATATACACATATCTATATTCATATATATACACATATCTATATTCATATATATACACATATATATTCATATATATATACACATATATATTCATATATATATACACATATATATTCATATATACACACATATATATTCATATATACACACATATATATTCATATATATACACATATATATATTCATATATATACACATATATATATTCATATATATACACATATATATATTCATATATATACACATATATATTCATCTATATACACATATATATTCATCTATATACACATATATATTCATCTATATACACATATATATTCATCTATATACACATATATATTCATATATATACACATATATATTCATATATATATACATATATATATTCATATATATATACATATATATTCATATATACATATATATTCATATATATACATATATATTCATATATATATACATATATATATTCATATATATACATATATATTCATATATATATACATATATATATTCATATATATATACATATATATTCATATATATATACATATATATATTCACATACGTACATATATATTCACATACGTACATATATATTCATATACGTACATATATATTCATATACGTACATATATATATTCATATACATATGTACATATATATATTCATATACATATGTACATATATATATTCATATACATATGTACATATATATATTCATATACATATGTACTTATATATATTCATATACATATGTACATATATATTCATATACATATGTACATATATATTCATATACATATGTACATATATATATTCATATACATATGTACATATATATATTCATATACATATGTACATATATATATTCATATATATATATATGAATTCCAACAGAATTCCATATATATATAATGAATTCCAACAGAAAAAAGCCAATTTCGGACAGATGGCCTCAATTTTGATGCATTTACTCACACCTAACTCTATTTCAATTTAACTGGTGCAGAGGCATTACAATATCCTGTAACAAAAACCTGGCGGAAGATTACAACAAATTGCTTAAACGTCAAACCAAAGACTCACATAATTTCATCATAAAGTGAAATTTGCATCCAACTCTCAAAGAATTAGAACATCCTTGCACTTACCTTGGCCTTGTCCATTCCCCTGATGACCCCAAAAGACCACAGTCATCATCAACAGTCCCGGAGCCCACGTCCACATCCTTCTAGTGACACTTTCATGTCTTCTGGCCATTGCATCTTAAACTCTGCATATTCAGTGGGGTGGATGTGAAAGTACAATAAATTACATTCTTAGAGAAATATACTACGACTCAAATCCCATATCTAATATGCACTGTGCATTTCTGAATTATCCTGCTTACAAGGAGGTACATTTGAAAATCATGCTTCCCTTTAGGATTGTCATATTGATGATTAATATGAAAGCTCATTCATCTTTAATCTAAGCATTCATCTGAATTACATTTTTACTATCATTTTCCAAAACAGGCCATTTAACCTATGAATGTTAAAAAGTACTCCCCATATACATATTGGAGTTCAGTCAAGCAAAAAAATTGTGTATGGACACTACTTAAGTATAACTTGATATTTAGGCAAATTGATGAATTTAACATACCATGTAATCTCTACATATATACAAAAGGACTTTTCAACACACTTATGTAAGTTTAGCATAAATACCCTTGAAAATATTCTCAAGTTTTAAGTGGTATTCTAATTATGGCAGTAATTAACTGAATAAAGAGATTCATCATGTGCAAAAACTAATCTTGTTTACTTAAAATTGAGAGTAAAATTAATTATAGAAGTTACAAAACACTTGTAATTTTGATTTCAGATATATAACCCATAGGACTTTCATATATACAAATATTATATATGAAAATGTATATTTGAATGTTCATTTTGAAACTGCTTTTCATACTGACACATGAAAATACTTAAATGTCCACCAAAGCAAGGTTATTTATTCATACATTTGAATGATATACAGTAGCTCAAAAGAATAAACTTGAGTTGCATGTACTAATATGGATGTGTCAAAAATGAATAGTGAAGCAAAACTAACAAACTGAATAATGATAAGTTCAAAACTATACCTTTCATATGTCACCATGTACAATAGTTAAAACTATACATTTTATGTTGCATAAATATATAATACAGTATAATAGCGCATAAGAATGATAAACACCTTCAAGACCAAAGTTAGGAAATTACAAGACTACAATTTAAATGATTAACAGGTGGAATTTTAAATCAGAGGTTACTCCTAAATCCCAATTTTTCCACAGTTGACAAAATACGGAGTTAAGAAAAGTAAACGTAATGATTTCCAGAATGAATGCTTTATTCAAAATGCTACATAATTACAATTCTAATAAACTTGCAAGGGAATCCAGTTACCCAGAAGTTTTCTTTCTCCCTTTCTCCTACATCATGAAAGGGGAAGATTTAATTACCAACTTTGCATTACTTAACTTCAGACTCATAGTATCAGAGCTAAAGAGAAATGTAAGAAACACCTAACTCAACCTCTCCATTTTAAATAACTAAATGATTTGAGAAGGTTACAATGACATTTCTAAGTTCATATGTAAAAACAGAATTTTGATGACAATGACAGTTTAAGTACTAATAAACACTCCATGAAAAGTTACTGTAATCCAGGTTATTTTACTGTGCTAAATGCCTTACATTCTTTACCCAGTTTGGTTTTCACAGAAATCCTATGAACAAAGCACTTTCAAAATTTACCACTTCACAGCTAAGAAAAACAAGGCTTAGAGAAATGCTACACGATCCCCTAGTCATGAGGTTAGTAGGTACTATTGTGGAGACTGAGGCAAAACAGGACGATTTCAATGCCTATGCTCTGAACAAGTAAACACTAAGCAGGAATTTAGTTCTAGATCTCCCAATTGTAGTCCAATAATCAGCCAAAAAATGATTCTGAGGGGAAAAAAAGATGTCTTGTGTACGGAGCCTCAAGTATTTGATCCCAAATACATCTTCAAATTGAAAATCATTCGAGCATAAGGCAATAGAATTATTAGTTTGTTTCTAAAATCATCAACCTTTCCCAAGTTGAACATACAAGTATATTTTATCATACATATACTATATGTATGTATAACGTGTGTTTATATAAGTATTCCTGTGGTTTATATATCTGGACTTGGAATCACAAGTGTTTTGTGATATATTTATTTATTTTTTAAAGTCTCCCTCTTTTGCTCTGGCAGGAGTGCAGTGGTGTGATCATAGCTCACAGCAGACTCCAACTCCTAGGCTCAAGCGATACTTTTGCCTCGGCCTCTCAAGTGGCTAGGACTACAGGCACGCACCACCATACCCGGCTAATTTTTTTATAGAGATGGGGTCCCACTGTGTTGCTTGACTGGTCTCAAACTCCTTAGGTCAAGGGATCCTCACACCTAGACTTCCAAAAGCAATGAGATTACAGGTGTGAGCCACCTTGTGTTTTTTGATTTCTTCCATTAATTTTACTTTTAAATTTAATTACACAAGATTAATTTTGTATACATAATGAATCTCTTTTGAGGTTTAAATTACTGATATAATTAGAGTAACACTTAACATGAGTGTAATCCCAGCACTCTGGGAAGCCGAGGCGGGTGGATCACCTGAGGTGAGGCATGAGCCACCGTGCCCGGCCTATATACATTCTTTTAACTACTACTTGCAGATATTTGTTCCCTTATAATTATAGGGGAACCACTTTCACTTAGTATCAAAATATCCAGATCCACTCATCAAAGTGTAAATAATCCTTGAGTAAATTACTTTTGCAAATTTATTTTTATGTAATATTTCCTTAACTTCTTCTTACCTACATCCAGTAGTCATTTTAAAAGGCAGAATTTTTACTATTTTATATAGAACTGAGGCAGTATTTGAAAAAAATCTCAAAACACTCTTCAGGAAGGACTGGCATCTAAAACACCAGTTCCAATACATATTTTAGTAACATTTTAATGGACAGATGGTTTTCAAAATATTATAATTAAAAAAAATCCTTCCTCTGAGTTGTTTATGGAAAACTAATATTTCATAAATGCCAAGTTACTATGATGTATTATCTGAATGCTGCCCCTGCCATTCTATAAATATAAAAATCATAGCCTTCTAGCTAACTTTGGTATTAGTCAACAGTTGTGCTGATGAAAAGTAAAATCAATTCATTTAAAAAAATTTTTCATGAAAGAAAAAACAAGTAACTTGTAAGAAGCATGGTAGATGAACCAAAAAATAAAGTAAGATTAACCATAAAGACATGCCATGGACTTCTCTTTTTTTGGAACACCCTTTTCATGCATATGAGAATAAAAATTAAATATTAAATACCTACTTTATGTAGTACTTTTACTTGTACCTATTGCTCTTTAAAGATTAAAATAACTCCTAAAGCCTGGATAGTTGAGCCCATTGTGCTCTTCTGCCCATAAAATTGCTAAGCTGTGAATGGAAGTCCACATTAACAATATGAAGATGTTCATCTCTGTTTTTGCAAGTTAAAGGAAAGAAGTTTGTTTTAATCTAACCAGATAGAAATGAGGCTGGACACGTTTAAAAAAATAAGCCCCAAAGCAAATGCTATCAAATGCAGAATAGAGAGAAGAAATCCTTAGCAAGGCGCTAATTTACCAAAAGTTAACATCAGGGTGAATGTCAAGAAGAAAACTGGGAACACAGAAAACGCCTGATTTCTGTGTGGCACAGCGTACAGGTCATCACCGTGGCCTCCTCTGTCCTCCTGGGCACTGACAGCCCCCAGTTCCGCGGCGGGGGCAAAAAGCCGCGGCGGCGGGGTCAAAAAGTCCCGGCGGCGGGGAGAAAAAAGCCGTGGTGGCAGGGCGCAAAAAGCCACGGCGCCAAAAAGTCAGGGCAGCGGGGGCAAAAAGCCGCGACGGCGGGGGCAAAAATGCGCAAAAGCCGCGGCGGCGGGGGCAAAAAGCCACGGCAGCGGGGGGCAAAAAGCCACAACGGCGGGGGCAAAATGCCACGGCAGCAAAAAGCCGCTGAGACGGGGCAAAAAAGCCGCGGGGGCAAAAAAGCCGCGGGGGCAAAAAGCCGCGGCGGCGGGGGCAGAAAGCCGCGGCAGCAAAAAGCCTGGGCGGCGCGGTCAAAAAGCCATAGCGCTGGGGGCAAAAAGCCTCGGCGGCAGGGTTAAAAAGCCAGGGCGGCTAGGCCAAAAAGCCACGTTGGCAAAAAGCCGCGGCGGCGGGGGAAAAAAGCCGCAGCGGCAAAAGCCATGGCGGTGGGGACAAAAAGCCACGACGGTAATAAGCCGTACCGGCGGGGGCAAAAAGCCGCAAAAAGACGCGGCGGCAGAAAGCCAGGGCAGCGGGGTCAAAAGGCCGCAACAAAAAGCCTCGACGGCAGGGGCAAAAAGGCGCAAAAGCCGCGGCGGCGGGGAGCAAAAAGCCCCGGCGGCGGGGGGAAAACGTCGCCGCGGCGGGGGCAAAAAGCCGCGGCGACAAAAAGCCTCGGCAGCGCGGGCAAAAAACCACGCAGGCGGGAGCAAAAAGCCGCGGCAGCGGGGGCAAAAAGCCACAACAGCGGGGTCAAAATGCCACGGCAGCAAAAAGCCGCTGAGACGGGGTAAAAAAGCCGTGGGGGCAAAAAGCCGTGGCGGCGGGGGCAAAAATCAGCGGGAGCGGGGACAAATTTCCACAAAAAGCCGCGGCGGCGGGGGCAAAATCAGCGGCGGCGGGGACAAAAATCCACAAAAGTCGCGGCGGCGGGGGCAAAAAGCCGTGGCAGCGGGGGAAAAAAGTCGCAAGAAGCCTCGGCGGCGGGGGAAGAAAGCCGCGGAGGCAAAAAGCTGCAGCGGCGGGGAGCGAAAAGTCGCGGCGGCGGGGGTAAAAAGGCGTGGCGACAAAAAGCCGCTGAGAAGGCGGAAAAAAGCCTCGGCGGCGGGGGCAAAATAGTGGAGATGGGGTAGAAGGCCCGCACAGCTTGGCATTGCTGGAGTGTGATGTGATAGGAAAAGTGCAGCCGAAGACAAAAAAAGATGTAAGTAGGCTTGACTCAGTGCATCTAAGAACCCAGATGTTATCTTGAGAGTATTAACTAATAAGCAGTTTAAATCAGAATGGCACATTCTGATTTTTTGTATATTCACATTTGGTAGACAGTGAAGAGAGGAAAGTCAGTAGATAGAGGTTACAAATATGTGCCAAGTCTAGAAACAAGAGACTGGGGGATAAGGACCTTTCAAAATAAAATGCAAGATTTGAAAACTGATTGGCTGGGGCATGAGGAAAAGGCAGGTCTTTAAGGTCAATCCCTGTTTTGCTTTAAGTTGTTAGCGGGTGGTTTTATCACATATTGTAGAATATGTCATTTCAGTTTTGAACATCTTCAGTTAAATTGTCCTAACGTATCTTATGAATTTGATTTTCTTGCCTGGGAAGCTAATATTTCAAAAACTTAAAGAGTATAGATTTCCAACTTGTATCCAATTTATAAAATTATCTGTAGGCTGCTGGTTTCAGGAGGAGGCTCATGAATATTCTATTTGCAGAGGATATATCAGGAGTTAACAACAGCTTCAATATTTGTGGACGACCAGTTAACTAAGCCACCTCTTAGTGTATTTAGATGGGAAATCTTAGCTGAATATATTCAATAATCAACCAAGAATGACTAAAAAATTCAATATTTAAGTATATTTCATTGTAATTAATTTGAATTGAAGCAGCCATATACAGCTAGTATTTACTACATTGAACAATGCAAATACGAGGAAAAAATTAATAATCATCTCTAATACCACATGCCAAAATCCTCATCAATTTATTCTAGCTAAAGGAGTTGATCAGAAGCAGCAGTTGAAAGCACCAACTAAACCAGCTGGGGTTAATTCACTGTCATTCTCTCAGAACCATCTCTTCTCTGAACAAAACAAGTACAAGAGTTCATTGTGAATCTGCATTCTCCTTGCCTATTTTAAGGTTTTGATGTTGACACTAATTTGTGAAATCCCTCCTGTGGTGTGATATTTCGTTTTCCTTGCTTTCTGTTAGGACAAGAATGCTTCAGCTCTTAATTTAAAATTATGTTTCTCCTTCCTAGGTTGAGTGAACTTAGAATGCATTCTGTGACATATCTAAGTTTTTGTTAATATGAATTTGGGGGAAAAAGCATACTTAATTAGCTAAGACTTCTTATTCTAGGCTTGACCCTGTGTTTGACATCTTTTGAATCTGTAGTTGCATAGGCTGCTCTCTGACACCGGTTAGTGGCCTGGAAGCTATATTAACGTTAGGGGAGGTGGTGTGTGAGCATTACAGGTATCCTTGCAAGGAAAGACTTGTCTTATCTCAATACGTCTTTTTTTTGCACACAAGAAAGTCAGTGTTTGAGTCTTTTAAAATCTTCCTATTTCCAAGTTGCAGAGTACCATTGATTCCTAAACAAAGATCTAATTTTTGAGTCAGAGACGTGGCAAGGTAGTGAATCACCATTATAATTTAACAGTCTTCAAGATAAAATTATCTCTCTGATAGTAAGATTTTGCCCAACTATTAAGATATTTGGGTGTTTCGTTAAGAATGGAAGACGCTGGTCTCTTGAGCAGAGACTATAAAGGCCTCAGATGATCATTTATAATTTTATGCTCTTTTCTTTAACACCTTCAACACAGTTGGAAGCAGCCGATATTCCCCAGAGTTGTTGTGTTTTTGAAACCAAATGCGTGGTTCAGTGGTAGAAAACTGGGTTGATCCAAGCTGTTTTCAATAAACACTTCATTTCAGGTGACCTATTTCATATTAAATAATCTCTAGATCCTGTCTTCAAAACTAACTAGACCAGATAACCTACCCTGGATTTTCCCCTTTTAGGGTCTGTGAGCTGCAGTCACTTTTGTGAAAATGATTGCAATGACAAGATAGAGTTGTAGACCGGGAAAATGTTTTGACTAATTTAAGCATAGTGGTATTTCATATGAGAATTTAAGTTACACACATTTGAAAATTATAATGGAGTCTCTTGGCTGAGCTTTAAAGAAAAATAGCGTTTAGGTTAAAAAGGGAACTGCTACCTCTCCTAAAATCAGAAAGATGTTACAGTAATTCTCCATTCTCTAGAATTATCAGGAAGCACCTTTGTGATGATTTACTTTTGCTCTTGGGAGTGTGAGCCCATGTAGTTGTGGAACCATCAATTAGAATGATGGCTTTCTGATCCCAAAGTCATTCGTTCTGAAAACAATATTTTTCATAAATTTGAAAGTGAGAAGGTTTGATCTTGCCATTCCCAAGTAACTCTCTTAATAAGAGGCATCAGCCTGCTTCAGTGACAGCTGTCACCTTCCAGTGCTGAGAGTCATCTTTGAGTTCTCCATTTCACTCCCTACACTCCAATTTAGCTGCAGTTCTCTTGGCCAGTCCTCTGAAATACATCCATGGCCTGACGACTTCTCACCACTAATACCACTCATACTCACAGCATTCTCACCTAAGTCACTACCTATTTTCTGTGGATTACAATAGCCTCCGAATTTATTTGCTCACATAACCTATTTATTCTTCACAGTGCACGAGATACACCCCTTTGAAATGCAAACACAGTCATGTTATTCTCTGGTGAAATTATCTCATATATTCCTATCGCATTTAAAATTAATTCAGAATCATCCCATGATTATCAAAACCCTACATGCTCTTCCGCAACATGGTTTACTTCCAAGATATCTCTTCAACTTTTTTTTCCACTGTACTGAATTGGTGACTAATAGTCATATTTTTGTTTTTGCTCAAAAAGTCTTGACTTGTAAATTTTCAGTTTTTCTTTTATCCACAGGTAACTCTTTTTTCGTAAGGCGAATTGCTTGCTTCCTTGAGTTCTGCTCTCAAAGATACCCTTCATATTCTACCTAATATTAATAACTTTAATCATTATTCCATTACTATGCTCTATAGTGTATACAGTTTCTGTTCTTGGTCATGTTATTAACTAAAGTATTTATTGGTTTCAGTAATTTATTCCATAAATATTGTACACATAAAAATTATGTTATTTTTATTGCTGTATGCTCAGCTGCCCAATAACTGTTTGAGGATTAACATATTTGTTAAATGCACAAATACATTCTTTCACAAATATTAGTTTAATAATTTTATATTAAACACCTTATATACTTACAATATGAATTAGATAACCCAGAATAAACATTCCGTTGGAGAAAACTAAACAATTTGTTATAAAACATCCTTAAAAGCATCAGAAAGTTAATACAGCAATGAAGAATTACAGGACCAAATTAAGAATGGTAAGCAAGCCTGTTTGTGAGGCTTATGTTTGGGTTATCTCTTTACTTAGAGTGACTATAAATCTCAAAAGAGAAGTAAAAGGAGAAATAACCATATCTACTAACATGGTAAGGGTATTTAAACATCTCTTAGTAATTGTGAAAATTGAAAGAAAAGAAAAAAGAGAGGGAGAAAGAGAAACAGAGTGAAAGGGATAATAAAGGAGAGAAAGAAGAGAAAGGAAGAGGAAGAAAAGTAAAAAGGTGGAGGAGGGGGAGGGAGGAAGAAAAGTAAAAAGGTGGAGGAGGGGGAGGGAGGAAGAAAGAAATGTGAAAAGAATGAATGGTAAAGTTTTTAACAACATAATTTATCCTTCTAGAATATGAATGTTGGTCTATTTGATGATGTCCCACAGATTCCTTAGTCTCTGCTCATTTTTTGTTTGTTATTCTTTCTGTTTCTCAGAGTCAGTATTTTCCATTTTCTTATCTTCAAGTTCATGACTTCTTCTGTGTGTGCAAATATACTCTGAAATCCCTCTGGTGATTTTTGAATTATTATCATTGTAGTTTTCCACTCCAGAATTTCTGTTATCTCTTTGTTGATATTCCTACTTTTTAATATTTTTTCTGATTCCTTGATTTCTTTGTTTATGTTTTCCTTTTGACATTTGAGTATAATGAAGAGAGTTGTTTTAAAGTCTTTGTCTAGTAAGTTTGAAGTCTGGGTTTCCTTAGAGATACTTTCTGTCAGTTTGTTTTGTTCCTTTGAATGAGCCATACTTTCCCATTCTTTGTATGTCTTGTAACTTTTTTTGAAAACTGGACGTTATAATAATTATAATTACTATGTGGTTATTCTGTAAATCAGAACCCCCCCCCCCACAAACACAGTAATGTTTTGTGGTTTTAAATTTTATTTACTTATTATATTCTCAAGGTTTTTATTTTTAGTGAAATTTTCCAAAGTGATGTGCAAAACTGTTTGCTTTATAAGGTGTGGTCACCGAAGTCTTTTCGTTTCCTTAACAAATGTTAAGCTAATGTTTTGACAGTGATTTTCTTGTATGTCAGGAATTAAGCAAACAGGCAAATACAACAAACACAAAGAAAAACAAGTAATCATTATCCAGCAAAATATGTCTCTAGGCCATGCAGACTGGCTTTGTGCTGGGTTCTTTAAAGCCGACACAAAGTGTGTGTTCACTCTTGCACTGAGTGAAGTTCAAGTTCACTCTTGCACAGAGCCTGCACTGAGGGGAGGGATCGGCCAAGGTAAAAGTGTAGGGTCTTCTTATGACATTTGTCAGCATGTGGCTTAACCTATGCATAAATGTGACTTTCTAGACTCTCCCATGTACGTGAATGATTTTGAATGTCTTAGTTTTCCAAATACTCTTCTCCAACTTTTCTTCCTGTGCTGAAGGTGATCTACTATATGTGTAAACTCTAATTTTTGCCCTAAGCGTCTCTGGTTTGTTAGGTCTCCTTGCAGAGTTTCTTAATAATGTCCATTCCTTATCTGTTCTGTATTCTAGCAACACAGAAAAAAAAAAAAAGCCTTTAATGAGTCCTTTAGGTATCCCCCAGACCAGTCAGAACAGACACATAATAATTTGCGGGTAAGATCTTCTCTTGTTCCTTTGGACCATGGACCAGGGTTTCTCACTGGGAACGTGGGCCTCTGACACTTCAAAACTGCCAATTTGCTGGGGCAAAGGCAAGTTAAAAATGTCATAAAGTTTTCCAGTTGTCTTTTTCTTTAGTCCGCTATCACTCGGTTGTTGTAATCTTTTGACCATTTTCCAGAGTTTTGGCAAAGTTCATTCGGACAGTTTCTCTTAGTTGTGTGATGTTTCTGTGGGGAAATGAAAGATTGCAGCTGTCTCCAGTGCCATTTTGCTGATGCTCCTCTTTTGTCAATTTTTGCTTCATGTTATTATGCTTTGTTATTAGTTCATGTATTAGTTTTCTAGGGCTGCCATAACCAAGTAACATAAACTGGGTGCCTTGAACAACATACATTTATAGTCTTATAGTCCTGGAAGCTAAAAATCTGAACTTGAGGTGTCAGCAGGGATGGTCCCTTCAAGGGCTATGAGAGAAAGTCTGTTCTATGCCTTGTGTCTAGCTTCTGGTGGTTTAGTGGCAGTCTTTGGCTTTCCTTGGCTAATCTCTGCCCTCATAATCACATGGTACTCTCCCTGTGTGTATGTCTCCCTCTGCTCAAATTTCTTCTTTTTATAAGGACATCAGTCATATTGAATTCAAGCTCATCTGATTTTATCTTAACTTGATCACCTGCAAAGAACCTATTTCCTCATGAGGTCATATTCAGTGGTTAAGATTTCAGCATCTATATAGAGGAAAACAATTTAGCTCCTATCTGTGCATACATGATTGTAATAGCTATGTCTTCCTAAAGCGTTGACCCCCTTCTTAATACAGTATAAATTTTTAAAATCCTATTCACATTTTTAATAGTCTATATTGTGTCTTATGAGTATAATGAGTTCAGTGTTCTTATGATTGCCCTTTGCATGATAATTTTTGTCATCTTTTTTACTTTCAACCCATTAGTATCCTTGCATCTCCGAGTATATTGGGATCACTTGTTTTAATCCAGTCTGACAATCTCTGCCTCTTGATTGGATTTTAATCTGTTCACATTTAATATTATAATTGGTATAATTCTGTTTATGTCTGCCATTTTACCGTTTGTTTTGTATATTTCTCAAATATTTATCTTTATTGCTTTATTTTGCAATGAATGAATATTTTCTAAAATAGGGAACTTTAGATTACTAATGAATTATTTTACTATATATTTTTGAGAATTTTTGTTGTTGTAAGTTTACCATATAGGTATACGGAAAATTAATTATTCAAATCACCTTCCAACTTATACTAGTAAAATTTTAGTAACACATAGAAACATCATTCTTATACAAATCTCTTTTATTTCCTCCATTTTAAAGTATTATCACTTTACACATTACATCTATTAAAGTTACAAAGCCAACAATACATTTTAGTAATTATTACTTTACCATCTAGAGTGATTACCTTATCACGATATATTTTTCTTCCAACTACCTCCTTTTTGATGTTACTGGAAAGTATGTTATAGACATATTACATTTCTACATGTCAAATACTCAGCAATACATTATGCATATATTATTATTATTATTATCATTGAGACGGAGTCCCCCTCTGTTGCCCAGGCTGGAGTGCAGTGGCACAGTCTTCGCTCACTGCAAGCTCCATCTCCTGGCTTCATGCCATTCTCCTGCCTCAGCCTCCCGAGTAGCTGGGACTACAGGTGCCCGCCATCACGCCCGGCTAATTTTTTGTATTTTTAGTAGAGACGGGGTTTCATTATGTTAGCCAGGATGCTCTCGATCTCCTGGCCTCGTAATACGCCCGCCTCAGCCTCCTGAAATGCTGAGATTATAGGCGTGAGCCATCGTGCCTGGCCATTATACACATTTTATAAACAATTTATGATAAACAGAAAACATGCATTTCTACTGTCTTTTATAATGTTAATTTTACCTATACCAGTGCTTTTTAAAAAAAGTGGATTCAAATGACTGTCTTGTGCAACTTGCTTTTAGCCTTAGGAATTTATTTTGGTGTTTTTTCTTTTTTTGTTTGTTTGATAAGTCTGCCAGCAATAACTTCAGTTAATATTTCTGTTTCTCTGGGTAAGTCTTTGTGTTATCTTCATTTTTGAAAACTAATTGCTGGATAAGGAATTGGTGGCTGACAGTTTTTTTTCCTTTGCATCTTTTGAATATATTATCCCACTACCTCTTGCCTTCCATTGTTTCTGTTAAGTCAGCTGTTAATCTTACAAAACATAGGTGCACAAAAAATAAACATGTGCATGAATATTTACAGCAGTAATATTCATACAGTCAAAAAGTGGAAACAATCCATGTGCTTGTTGACTCATAAATGGACACCCAATTTTCAGCTGTAACAAAGAATGAAGTACTTATACATGGTATAATATGGGTGAAATTTGAAAGCATTATGTTAAGTGCACAAAAGGACAAATATTACTTGATTTTATTCACATGAAACATCAGGAATTGGCAAATCAATTGGGATATAAATCAGATTAGTGGTCATTAGGGCTCAGGGAAGCAGAATAGGGTGTAACAACTTTATGCATAATGGGTTTTTAGAAGGGACATGATGAAATTGTCCTGGAACATTGTGAATATACTAAAAGCAACTGCGTGGTATGCTTTAAAATGCTTAAGTTATTAATTTTATATTATATGATTTTTACCTTAAAAAAAAAGAGAAAATAGCCTTACTCTCTACATAATAAACTCAAGATGTGTAACAAATTTATATGTGAAATCCAAAATACTATAATATTTAAGGAATAGCTAAATAGAATAACACTAAAATTTAACATAATGAAATATTTCCTTAAAAAAGAAAAAAGCACAGTAATTAAAAGGGGATATATAGTTAATATTTTTTCTCTCCATTAAGCATGCCATTAACTGAGTAAAAATCAAGCTGCAATTATGTAAACTACATTTTCTAAAACCATAAAGAAAAGAAATGAAAAGGGATTTGGGAAAAAAACCCAAAGGTAGAGTCAACTACACAAAAAAAGCTTAGCGTCATTAATCATTATGAAAATGAAAATTGTAACTGAAATAGGATAAAACTACAATTAAAAGAGAAAGCCTAAAATTTCAACCCCCCAAAAATTCTGGGTTTTGGAGAGCTGGGATGGAATAGGGCTCCTAACCTTACAACAATGAAATAACCCAACTAATTTCAAAGTCATGAGTTTATTTTTATAGCAACCAGGTTGCCAAGAACTGAGTGATGTGTCCACATCCCGGGAGAGAGAAGCCAACAGAAGCTGGAAGAGCTAAATCAGACTGCTCCCTAGAGCTTCAGAAGGAGCCAGAACTGATGACTCCAAGATCTTAGCCCAGTGAAACTGATCTGGACTTCTGAACTATGAGAGATTCCATTCCTGTTGTTTGAAGCTACCACATTATTGAGAACTTGTTACAGTAGCCCGAGGACACTAACACAAATGGGGCTCCGGGAAAATCCAGACTAAAGGTGTTGTGTTGGTTTGCAATCTCCTTGCTTAACTTTCTGATACTAGACATAAATAGATTGGTGAAAAATTTTGTGATTGAAGAAATGTACATGAAACCTACAGCGTACAGAGAAGCATCTGTTAGTTATAAGATAAATATTGATAATTTTAGTTGAAAATGACATATGACTGTTAATATCTCACATAACATTCTGAGTTACTCAAGAATGCATAAAAGGGGCACTAGATACTCTTCTCATGTATGTGTGTGTGTCTGTCTATACATGTATGTACACTTCATGGTGCATCAGTTGGCGGAACCCTCAGGACACCCCTTCACATCCTCAGTGCCCCATTTCACACATGAGGAAACTGTTCATGACAGCACATGGCTGATTTGCATAAAAGTCACTTGGTCAGCAGTTGTTGAAGCTGAACTTGGAATCTAGGTCTGTCTGACCTTAACTATGTTCCTTCCACAGAGCCACGTTCATTCCATAGAGGAACCCACCACCTATAAAACCAGGAAAGAGACAAAGCCAGAAGTGCAGGGTGGATTTCTTAACACAAGCTCACTGCGACCTCTAGTCCTCATCACGCTGACACTAAGCTTAAACCCAGACCCTTCTACAGTTTTGTCTACAAAGCACAATTTGCCCAAAGCCTTTACAAACACCAACAGCCTTTCTTTCAGATATGGCAGCAGGGTCACATCTTACACGGCCCTGACCACATTTTGTCTCCTCTGCCATCCCCATCTCTCTGACTCAGTCCTCGCTTGCAGCCATAAAAAAGGATGAGTTCATGTCCTTTGTAGGGACATGTATGAAGCTGGAAACCATCATTCTCAGCAAACTATCGCAAGGACAAAAAAACCAATCACTGCATGTTCTCACTCACAGGTGGGAATTGAACAATGAGAACATATGGACACAGGAAGGGGAACATCACACACCAGGGCCTGTCGTGGGGTGGGGGGAGGGGGGAGGGATAGCATTAGGAGGTATACCTAATGTAAGTGACGAGTTAATGGGTGCAGCACACCAACATGGCACATGTATACGTATGTAACAAACCTGCACGTTGTGCACATGTACCCTAGAACTTAAATAATAATAATAATAATAATAAAGGATGAGTCTTGTACATCTAATTTGCCCCACAAATGTTAAAACAGCAAACCCGCATCCCCTTCCTCTTCTCATGTGCTGTGAGGGATGACCTCCAGGCTCTCAGATACCAAGATTATACAAGACCTAACCCAGAGAATTACTCAAGACACTTTCTACGTAAGAAGAATTGTGGTGCTAGCTCTCCTCATAGGAAAATGTTTTCTGTCTCTTCTTGAAATTGACAGCAAACACAAAAACACAGAACTATTTGGGAGAACAGAGGACAGTGATACACTAGGGAAGTAAAACACACCCCTTCCCCTTGCATTGGTTTCCTGTTGCTGCTGTAACAAATTACCACAACCTTACTGCTACACATAATACAACTGTATTACCTTACATTTCTGGAGGTCAGAAGTCTCAATGAAGTAAAATCAAGGAGTAATAGGGCTCTATTCAGTCTAGGCTTCAAGAGAGAGAATCCAATATCGAGCATTCCATCTTTCTGATGTTCCCACATTCCTAGCAGCATGGCCCCTACCTCCATCACTCCAGTTTCCCCGTCCGTTGTCCCAGGTCCTCTCTGGCTGTTACCTTCCTCCCTCCCTATTGTAAGGACCCTTGTGATTATGATGGTCTCACCCAGATAATTCAGGATACTCTCCTGACCCCAAAATTCTCAACCATGTCTGCCAAGTTATTTTTGACATATTCATAAGTAATGATCATAGATTCCAGATATTAGGACAATGATGTCTTTAGTGGGTGTATTATTTATTCCACAAACAACTCTCATCATCCACACAATGGTCTTCCCCTAAGGTAGAATAAAAATATCACAAGGCAGATTTATGAGGCGATCGACCTAGAAAAAACCTGAGACTCTAGGACTGTCTGATGTGTGGATGTCAAATCCTGGGAGATTCTGAGTCTCTGCTCTATGTGGACTCTATGTTGTGTAGCCATTTGTGGAAGGCTTCTGTGATTTTGTGACCTAGAGAAAATGAATCTCTGCTAAAATCAAATCTAAGAAAGATTGGCAAAGGGAATTTAAAGATTTCCTAAATTTTTGGAATTTCCCTAGGCATTAAAACAGGAGAAGTGGCAATAATTCAAACCAATGATGCCCTCCAAGAATGAGGATTTTTCCAATGCATTAGGTTGGGTCCCCTCAGTGAGAAGGATGCCAAAGATTCGCATGCAGGCAGTGTATTTACAAAGTGCGGGAAACAAGCAAGTGAGCAAGGGAGGGGAGGAGGGAAAGGGAAAGTGAAAGGTGCCTCAGAAGGAGCCACCTCTGAGGATGACGAGAGCTCAAGCCCACATAGAAACACAGGAAAAATGCCTCTGTTATTCCACCTGAGAGGTGAGGGAGCTGGGGGATGTGTACACCTCCCTTGTCATCACTGATTGACAGCCGTCCTAGGGGATGTTAATTCCAGGCCATGAGGTCTGCCTCATTTGCAGCCTGAGCTGCTTCCCCAGGTTCAGATAGAGCAGTGAAGGGGAGAAAGGGCCATAGAGAGTCGGCTGAAGTATAATGACTAGAATCCCCAAGGCGTAGTAACAATGACTGCAAAAATTATGCACAAAGAAAAAGCGCATTTGAATCCAGAGATGTATCTCTCTGAATCTGGATATATGGATCCCGGCAGCCTGTTCAGTAGCCATTTCCCAGAAATCCAGTCCTCTGGAAAAGCAGCAGGAGGTTTGTGCACAGGCTGCACTACCTTGGTCTGGCCACTGGTAGTCGTGCATGAGAACTACTCCCTGGAGTATTTCTCAGTCCACTGACACTGACGTAATTGGCTCCACTTCCCCTGCTGTTGAGCCAGGCCGACACACCCTGGACAAAGGCATCTGTGTGAAGTATTGAGGTTCAAATCAGTGCTTAAGATATGTTTGGATGCAAAATACTTTTTCATCTACATGGGCAGTGTCTTGGCAGAAGATGGAGATTCTCTCTAAATGGATGTGAGACAGGGTGGCTGGCATCTGGGTCAGGATGTTGCCCTGGTGCATGGCAAGAACATGCATTGGGCAGCAGCTGCCCTCGCTAAGGAGAGAGGTTCACTGACCTGGCTTTTCCCCCCTCACTTGCTCTCCAGAAAGCCAGACTCTAGGGCAAATGCTCCTGAGACCCCAAGAACAGGCTGGTGGGGAGCGCAGCTCAGAGCATTACTCAGGGGATGTGGCCTTTGTCATCCTACTTTGAAACAATTGACTATTTGAGCCTAGATTGATAGAGGGCTTCAAGTTGATTTTAATCCAGGCTCCTATAGTCAGCGAGTGAAACAGAGTTTTTAGTTGAAATAATGAGACCTGGTATTACTAGTCAGCTCTCCATGCTGGAGAACCATAAGAAATTATACCAAAGGCAGGAAAGGGGATAGAATATGGGGATCATCACACCAAGAATAAGGTGCAGCCCATTTAGCCCCTGGGTCTTAAAGAGACCCATAGCTCTGGATAATTAATGGCAGATCTATGCGTGACACAGTTATCATCTTTGTGCATCTTCAGAGAATTGTTTTTCCTTTTACTCCTAGGAACAATGTCTTAAGTTTGTTAGTAAATTCTATTGAATTTATTAAAGATGCTTCTGATAAATTCTTTTTATATTCATTTCAAAAAAGAAGAAATTTCACACTGACAGAGACATTGTTATTATAGCACTAAATACTTTTACACTCTTCAAATTCCTTTGAGACTAACTGAAATTTCTGACAGCCCCACATTCTACAACTTTATTGTAAATTTTCTGCCAAAAATGATGCTTCCCTATACACTCCTAATACAAGTATAAATATATTATTTAATCTAGTCTTAGGTTGATTTAAAATTTTGAAAATTCACTCCAAAAATATGTTCTGTAACCGTATGGCCACCAATGAGAAATGTATTCTTTCAAGGTAAATCTGTGCTGCCCTGGTCTGACCTGGGACTCTGGGGATACTGCGCCCCTGTGCTGAGTTACTGAAATGAGCCAGCCCTGCAGCTGTGCTCAGCCTGCCCCATCCCCTGCTGATTTCCCTGTTCCTAGAGCACAGCCCCCTGCCCTGAAGACTTTTTATAGGCTGGTCACACCCGGTGCAGGAGTCAGTCCCAGTCAGGACACAGCACAGACGTGAGAGCCCCCACTCAGCTCCTGGGGCTCCTGGTGCTCTGGCTGCCAGGTAAGGAAGGAGAACACTAGGATTATACTTGGTCAGTGTGCTCAGTACTGTCTGGAACTTCAGGGAAGTCCTCTGATAACATGATTAATTGCAAGAATATTTGTTTTTATGTTTCCAACTTCAGGTGCCAGATGTGACATCCAGATGACCCAGTCTCCATCCTCCCTGTCTGCATCTGTAGGAGACAGAGTCACCATCACTTGCCGGGCGAGTCAGGGCATTAGCAATAATTTAAATTGGTATCAGCAGAAACCAGGGAAAACTCCTAAGCTCCTGATCTATGCTGCATCCAGTCTGCAAAGTGGGATTCCCTCTCGGTTCAGTGACAGTGGATCTGGGACAGATTACACTCTCACCATCAGCAGCCTGCAGCCTGAAGATTTTGCAACTTATTACTGTCAACAGAGTGACAGTATCCCTCCCACAGTGTTACAAGTCATAACATAAACCCCAAGGAAGCAGATGCGTGAGGCTGGGCTGCCCCAATGCTCCTTCTGGTGCCTCTATCTGCTGAGGGAAGTTCTCAAACTCAGTCAGGTTTGGAAAGTCATAGGGAGATTTTCCTAGAGGAGGCCAGGGAGGTTCCTCTGAACCCTAAGCCTCTTTCACCCTCATCCCCAGCAGAAAAGACATGACAATGACTGTCCTGACTGAATAAAGAAGAGAGATAAGTCCAGCTGAGGTGTCTGTGTTATGGGATAATCGGAATTTGTACAGCAAAAGAGAAGCTATTCTCAGTATTTCAAGGAGCAATTATTCAAGTTGAATAAATTAGAGTCTAAACCACAGTCTTTCTGAAGCCTATGGAGTGTTATTCATGAAGCAGGTACTAGACACAGGGGATTCTCAGGTGCTACTTCAGAAGCCAGGGTTCACCTGCCCCTGATGGTATGTGCTGAACACCGTGTGATGATCCTCAGTCCTGTCTGGGAAGCCCAGAGCTGGGGGTGCTGATGCTCTCAGCTGCCTGCAGCACATCTCCAGGTGATTCTCCAGTCCACACCTAACAGCATGTGTTTTACTTCAGGTGTCAGTGTACATGAATCCACCACTCTGACTTCCCAATCTCATGACAGTAATTAGTTGTAACTTACTGTGACCTCATGGAGCAACTCTAAAGAAACCAGAGAGAGAAAAGGAGTTTTGGAAAATGTGCTCCCAGAAGTGATAGTAGTGATGGGGAATTGACAGCTGACGGGGAAGTAAGGTGACTCTTTCCACAAGGCTCAACATTTTGCCAGTTACGAGTTGTTGCAAAATACATTTGAATGTGCTTTCAATTATTAACAGTTTGGGGTCATAGCTGAAAAACTTTATTAAGTCACAGATAAAATGGGAAAATCAGGAAATTGTATGAAATATACAATAACACTGTGTGTGATGGCTCAGGTCTGTAATCCTGTGATAGTTAATACAGATTGTCAACTTGATTACATTGAAGGATGTAAGCATTGCTCCTGGGTGTGTCTGTGAGGGTGTTGCCAAAGGAGATTAATATTTGAGTCAGTAGTCTGGGGAAGGCAGACCCCCTACTTAATCTATGGGCACCATTTAATCAGCTGCCAGTGAATATAAAGCAGGCAGAAAAAAAGTGAAAAAGTGAGTCTGGCCCAGCCTCCCAGCCTACATCTCTCTCCCGTGCTGGATGCTTCCTACCCTTGAACATCGGACTCCAAGTTCTTTATTTTTGAGACTCGAGCTGGCTCTCCTTACTCCTCACTCCTCATGCCTGCAGACAGCCTACTGTGGGACCTTGTGATCCTGTAAGTTAATATGTAATAATATGTAATAAACCCATATATATATATAGAACTTATTAGTTCTGTCCCTCTAGAGAACCCTCACTAATACAGATTTTGGTACCAGGAATGGTTCTGCAGGAACAGAATATTAAGGTTGGAGTTCTTTTGTTGGTTTTGGGGTTTCTGGATTTGGCTGCTAAATATGATTAGATCCCAAAATGCTAAGGACTCTACTTTTAATAGTGTAGAGAACATTGACAGTTCTTGGCATGAAAGGTTTAAAGAGCTATGCAAAACAAATTCATTCGACACTAATGAATCATCGCTCGTGAGAGGCAAGGAGTTTAGTGACTCTGTACCTAATACCCTTGACAAACACCTTGCAAAATAGATTTGTGAGGACAGCACCTGCATCTTTGAAGAGCCCTGTAAAGGCTCTTCTCTGTATGTCAGTTCTAATGGTGAGAACTGCAGTCACTCAGTTACAAAAGTTAAATACAATTTGGAATAATTGGATCCTGAAGTGGCAGGGGCCAAGTGGTAGCACTCAACCCTCAAAGGCATGGTGGGTGTAGCTACCGTAATGGGCAGAAAAGACAAAGCAGCAATCTGAACAGTCTGACTCATGTAGAGCTCTGGCATTGGCTAACTAATCACAGTGCTCCTAGAAGTGAAACTGACAGGAAGACTAATGCATTCCTACTTAATTTATGTAAGGAGGAAACTTAAGGTCAAACAGATAAAAGACTAATTGGAATTATAAAAACAGAGATTCATGGCCCCTCAATCAATTTCCAGCCTTGAGCCAGTTTACAGACCCAGAACCCCTTGAATGAAGGGGAGGCTGGGTCCCCCTGAGGTGTCCATGGCAGATAGGAATGCTGCTTTGAGGCTTTGGCAGGCCTCCATAGGTGAATCATGGTGCAGTCCTCTAGTATTTTGCAGCAAGGCCCGGTCATGTTCTCCAGTTAACTACTCTCCTTTTGAGAGACAGCTCTTGTCCTATACTGGGCTTTTGTGGAAACTGAATATTTGACTATGAGTCAACAAGTCACCATGCGACCTGAACTGCCTATCGTGAACTGGGTGCTTTCTGACTCATGTAGCCATAAAGTGGGTCATGCACAGCAGCATTGCATCATCAAATGGAAATGGTGTATAAGGGATTGGGCTCAAGCAGGTCCTGGGGGGCACAAGTAAGTTACATGAGGAAGTGGCTCAAATGCCCACCCTGCCACCCTGCCTTCTCTCCCACGGCCTGCACTGATGACCTCATGGGGACTTGCCTTTGAGCAGTTGACACAGGAAGGGAGGACTAGGGCCTGGTTCACAGATGGTTCTCCACAATAGGCAGGTACCGCCCAAAAGTGGACAGCTGAAGCACTACAGCCCCTTTCTAGGACATCCCTGAAGGAGAGTGGTGAAGGACAATCTTCCCAGTGGGCAGAACATTGAGCAGTGCACCTGATTGTGCACTTTGCATGGAAGGAGAAATTTCCAGATGTGCGGTTATATACTGATTCATGGGCTGTAGCCAATGGTTTGGCTGGATGGTCAGGGACTTGGAAGAAGCATGATTGGAAAATTGGTGACAAAGAAACTTGGAGAAAGAGTATGTAGATGGACCTCTCTGAGTGGTCAAAAACTGAAGATATTTGTACCCTGTGTGAGTGTTGACCAACAAGTGACTTCAGCAGAGGAGGATTTTGATAATCAAGTGGATAAGATGACCCGTTCTGTGGATACCACTCAGCCTCTTTCCTCAGACACCCCTGTCATTGTCCAATGAGCCCATGAACATAGTGGCCATGGTGTCAGGGATGGAGGCTATGCATGGATTCAGCAATGTGGACTTCCACTCACCAAGGCTGAACTGTCTGTGGCCACTGCTGAGTGCCCAATTTGCCAGCAGCAGCAGAGACTAACAGTAAACACTTTGTATGGCATCATTCCCTGGGGTGATCGACCAGCTACCCGGTGACAGGTTGATTATATTGGACCTCTTCCACCATGGAAAGGAGAGAGGTTTGTCCTCATTGGAACAGGCACTTACTCCGGATATGAGTTTGCCTACCTGCATGCAATGCTTCTGCCAAGACTACCATTTATGGACTCAAGGAATGCCTTATCCACTATCACGGTATTCCACACAGCATTACCTCTGACCAAGTACTCACTTTACAGGTAAAGAAGTGAGGCAGTGGGCTCATGTTCACGGAATTCACTGGTCTTACCATATTCCCCATCTTCCTGAAGCAGCTGGATTGATAGAATGGTGGGACGGCCTTTTGAGGTCGTGATTACAACGTCAACTAGGTTACAATACTTGGCCGGTTCGGGGCACCATACTCCAGAAGACCATGTGTGCTCTGAATCAGCGCCCAATGTATGGTATTGTTTCTCCCATAGCCAGGATTCACAGATCCAGGATTCAAGGGTTGGATGTGAAAGTGGAACCACTCACTATGATGCACTAGCAAAATGTTTGCTTTCTGTTCCCACGACATTGGGTTCTGCTTTACTAGTCATCTTAGCTCCAGAGGGAAGAACGCTGCTACCAGGAGACACAATAACGATTCCATTAAACTGGAAGTTAAGATGGCCAGTTGGACGCTTTGGGGTCCTCCTACCTTTAAGTCAACAAGCTAAGAATGGAGTTACAGTGTTGGTGGCAGTGATTGACCCAGACTATCAAGATGAAGTCAGTCCGCTACTCCACAACGGAAGTGAGGAAGAGTATGCATGGAATATAGGAGATCCATTAGGGCATCTCTTGGTATTATCATGCACTCTGATTAAGGTAAATGGGAAGCTATACCCAATCCAGGTAGGACTACAAGTGGTCCAGATCCTCTCCGGGTCACGACCTGCTGAGGTGCTTGCTGAAGGCAAAGGGAATACAGAATGAATAGTGGAAGAAAGTAGTTATCAATACCAGCTACGACCACCTGACCAGCTGCAGAAATGAGGACTGGAACTATCATGAGTATTTCCTTCTTCTTTTGTTAAAAACATGTTTGTGCATGTATGCACTTGTACTAAGAAAATATCTTCATTTCATTTCCCTTTTCTTTATCAGGTGACATAGATTTGCTCACCTCATATCAGCATTTAAGTATTGTTTACTTTATGTAATAGTATTTGGGTTGGGGATTGGTGCATTTCCAGTTGAAGGAAGGATAGTTTATTATGTTGGGGTAATTATGACCTTACTATTGTCTGTACTTTAAGATTATGTATGATCTCAGGAGATGTGTGTGGGTTCAAGTTCACAAGGGGTGGGCTTGTGATGGTTAATAATGAGTGTCAACTTGATTGGATTGAAGGATGTAAAGTATTCATCCTGGGTGTGTCTGTGAGGGTGTTGTCAAAAAAAGATTAACATGTGAGTTAGTGGGCTGGGAAAGGCAGACCCACCCTTAATCTATGTGGGCACAATCCAATCAGCTGCCAACCCATCCATACTATAAGCAGGCAGAAAAATGTGAAAAGAGACGGGCCTCGCCTCCCAGCCTACATCTTTCTCCCATGCTGGATGCTTCTTGCCCTCGAACATGGACTCCAAGTTCTTCAGTTTTGGAACTCTGGCTGGCTCTTTTTGCTCCTCATCCAGCAGATGGCCTATTGTGAGACTTGGTGATTGTGTGAGTTAATACTTAATAAACTTCCTGTATTAGCCAGTGACATCTAGAGGGATAGAACTAACAGGATATATACATATATATATACACACACACACACATACATATATATATGCACACACACACACATATATATATATTTATTTATAAAGGGGAGTTTATTAACTTACAGGATCATAAGTTACACAATGGGCTGTCTGCAAACTGATGAGAAAGGAGAGCCATGGAGTCCAATGTTTGAGGGCAGGAAGAAACCAGCATGGGAGAAAGATGTAGGCTGGGAGGCTAGGCCAGTCTCTCCTTTTCAAATTTTTCTGCCTGCTTTATATTTGCTGGCAGCATATTAGATTGTACCCACCAGATTAAGGGTGGGTCTGCCTTCCCCAGCCCACTGACTCAAATGTTAATCTCTTTCGGCAACACTCTCACAGACACACCCTGGATCAATACTTCATATCCCTCAATCCTATCAAGTTGACACTCATTATTAACCATGTCACTCCCTTTCATATACATATGTATATAGTCCTTTAATTCTGTCACTCTAGAGAACCCTGACTAATACATGTACACTTCTGATGATCTTTTTCTTTTATTTTAGGTCATTTATTTCCCCTGGGTTGCCTACACTCGCTTCTTTCCACTCCCCTATGATGGACAATATAAGCCTCTGGACCTCACTAGGTCAGGGCTTGTCCCTGTTTGCACTATCCATGACACTTTCCTCTTTTACTCTTTAGCAATGAGGGAATGTCATCCTTACCCAGATGCCAGCCAACTGTCTCACATCCAGGACAGAGAGTCTCCATCTCCTCTCCAGCAAATAACCATGTATGTGTGCATGGTGGCATGCCCCTGTGATCCCAGCTACTCCATAGGCTTAGGGGGGAGAATCACTTGTGCTTCAGAATTCAAGGTTGCAATGAGCCATGATCACACCACTGCACTTCATGCTGGGTAACAGAGAGACCCTGTGATTTTTCCCCTACATTTTACAGAATTTTTTTTTGCCTCTTTCTTCTATTAATTTATGTTTTGTCCATTCATTTTCTGCAAACCTTTAGAGGGCAAATAGGAAGTTTCCCTTTATAACGTGGTGGCTCACGCCTGTAATCCCAGCACTTTGGGAGGCCAAGGTGAGCCGATCACCTGAGGTTGGGAGTTCGAGACTAGCCTGACCAACATAGAGAAACCCCGCCTCCACTAAAAAAAATACAAAATTAGCAGGGTGTGGTGGTGTGCACCTGTGATCCCAGCTACTCAGGAGGCTGAGGCAAGATAATTGCTTGGACCTGGGAGGCGGAGGTTGCAGTGAGCCCAGATTGTGCCACTACACTCCAGCCTGGGTGACAAGAGCGAAACTCCGTCTCAAAAAAACAAAACGAAACAAAAACAAACAAACAAAAAAACACCTACTGCCTCACTGAATTAAAGGCGTGTTCAGCAGTTTCTTTGTTATTTCAAAGAGTGGCATCTGCTTCAGCAGGGTCAGTTTTTAATGTGTTTGTTTTGTTTCTTTTTTCTCTGTCTGGTGTTCTTTTCTATTTTATTATAATTTTTTAAATTTGAGGGATGAGGTTTTCATAGTACTGAATATCAAAAAATGAATCCGCATGAATGATTCACCTAATTTCCTTGGTTTTAGTCCTCTATACAGGTTTTATATAGCAAAAGAACCATTTAAAGACTTGGGTTACAAATGTATTTTATTTTACCTCTGGCATGCCTTGGGCTGAGAAAGCATTATATGGTGGCACAATATTTGTAACATTCTCATAGCCATCTGGTGGTGGTTCGAGGTATGACGTTTTGAAAATCTAGCAAGAATTAAAATATGTCAAGTTAGAGAGAATAATTCCAGATTATTATTAAGATATAATTCATTTTGCCCCAAGTATACACTTCAGATTAAGCATCCTGGAACTGGGTTCTATAATTAAATAGATAAATTACAGTGACAACAATGAGAAAGAGCCTTATCATTATTATTGTCTTCCTAATAATAGAAACTTTTATAAATGCATGCAATCCCAGGTAACCAAAAGTTTCCTTATAAAGTGTAACAGCAGAGCTTCAAAGGTGGCACTTTGGCAATCCTCTTTTTTTGACTATGCCTTTTCAGCTTCGTTTGTGGGCTCCTTTTCTTTCATCTTTATTTAAATAACATTTCCCTATGTTTTATCCCCAGCCCATTGCTTGCCTCTGTACTGCCTCCCTGCGAGACTTCATTAAGTATCAGAATTTTACCAATAGCTCATATGCTTATGATGCTTACCTTTTCAGATTCGTATATTTAAATGTTTTGTGGTTATTTCATCCTGGATGTCCAAACTCAACATGTTAAAATTCAAATTTATCATCTCTCACCCCGGGCCTGCTTTTGGTCTGCATTTCCTACCTCTATTAATAGCTTCAGTCATTAGCCACCGACACCAGACAGTCTCGGAGTCATCCTGAACTCTATCTTCCCCTCCTTCCCCAAGTCAATCACTAATCAAGTCCTGCTAATACATTTCCTTACTATTTCTGAAATCCATCCCTCTTCCTCATTCCTACCAACATCCTAATTTAAAACTTTATTATCTTTTACCTGGACTATTGTCTTAAGACAACAACTTTAACCCGTTGCTTAGCCTAGGTGTAATCCACAGAGGATCTTGTCTGTCTAAAATGCCCCTCTAGCCACATCCTTCCCCTGCTCAGATCTTGTCATTGGCTCCCATGAACTGAAGTTGAAGTTTAAGCTCCTTAGGACAGCATACACGCCCTTCTATGACATGTTCCCAGAACATATTTACTGGTTTATCTCATACCATGGCCCACTTTGTATTTTACACTTTTGAAATACAGAAAGTCATTACATTCTCCCAATAATACTAAGATAGTATATGCCTAAAAGCCTTTGCCAATATTTTGTCTTTTGTTGAGAATTCTCTTAGCTTATTTTGTCACGTGTTTAACTCCTTATGTCCTTTCATGACTCACATGTCAAGACTTCAGGAAACCTTCTCTAACTCCCAGGCTGGGCTGAGTGACCCTTTTCTGGGTAAGTAATGAACTCTAATCATACTCTTCATAGCACTTACCATACTAATTTGAAGTCTGAAGTATTCCATTGTCTGCCTCACTTTACTTAGGCAAAGGAACCATGTCCTAGTCTCATTCTGGCCTCAGGACTTCAGCCTGGGAGACAGTGGGAGACTGTGTGTCAAAAAAAAATTGCCAATGATTGAAGACTAATACTGAAGATTCTGGTTTATTAATAATTAGTCTGTTGCTGGGTGTTAATTGAGCTCCCCAAGTGATTACTCATGTAGGACTTCAAACCAATAATTTAGGACCTTGTGACTCAAAATCTGGGCAAAAATAAGCAGCATCAGTATCACCTGGGAGCAGCTTCAGGTCTCACTTTAGATTTACTCTGAATCGAAATATTATATTTTTATTAAAAAAATTAAGAACAGATGACAAGCTTCAACTACATCTAAATTCTTTAGATTTACTTTAAAAGAATCAACATTTTGACACAATACCAAAGTGAACTAAATTCGCTTTTTTTTTTTTTTTTTTGAGACAGAGTCTTGCTCTGTTGCCCAGGCTGGAGCGCAGTGGTGCAATCTCGGCTCACTGCAACTTCCACCTCTCCAGTTCAAGTGATTATCTTGCCTCGGCCTCCAAAGTAGCTGGGATTACAGGCACATGCCATCATGCCCAGCTAATTTTTGTATTTTTAGTAGAGACAGTGTTTCACAATGTTGGGTCAGCTGGTCTCGAACTCCTGACATCAAGTGATCTGCCCGCCTCGGCCTTCCAAAGTGCTCAGATTATAGACATGGGCCACCATGCCTAGCCTAAATTTGCTTTAATTTGGAGAAGTACTGGTCTAGAAAACACAAATTCCAAGGAGACTGAGGTTCTTAAGTTGATTTCTTGAGTACAAGTCCTTCAAATGCATTCTCCAAGATTAATTATTTTTTTTTTACTTTTTAAATTGACAAAGATTATACATATTCATGGCTATACGGGGATGTTTCAGTACATGTAGATGGTGATCAGATCAGGGTAATTAGCATATCTATCATGTCAAACATTTATTATTTCTTTGTGTTGGGAATATTCAAACTACTCCTAGGTATTTTAAACTACATAATATAGTATTGTTAACTATAGTCATCTACAGTACTATAGAACACTAGAACGTATTACTCCTACCTAGCTGTAATTTTGTATCCATTAACAAATCTCTTACTATTCCTCCTTTCTCCCTACCCTTTTCAGCCTGCATTATCCTCTGTTCTACTTTTTACTTCTATGAGATCAACTTTTTTTTAGCTTCTGCGTGAGTGAGAACATGTGGTGTTGAAATTTCTATTCCTGGCTTATTTTGCTTAACATAATATCCTCCAGTTCCATCCATGTTGCTGAGAATGACAGGATTTTATTTATACTTTTTTATGGCTAAATAGCATTCCGTGGTGTATATATACCATATTTTAAAAATCCATTCATCTGTTGTTGGAAACCTAGGTTGATTCCATATCTTGGCTATTGTGAACACTGTTGCAATAAACATGGGGATGCAGATGTCTCTGCAATATAATGCTTTTCTTTCCTTTGGATAAATTCCCAGTAGTGGGATTGCTTGAGGTGTTTCAATACTGTTCTCCATACGGGCTGCACTAATTTACATTCCTACCAACAGTGCATAAGAGTTCCTTTTTCTCCAGCTACTCAGGAGGCTGAGGGAGGAGAACTATTTGAACCCTAGAAGCAGAGGGAGCCAGATTACACCACCACTGCACTCCAGCCTGGACGGAGAGTGAGATTCTGTCAAAAAAAATGTCCCTTTTCTTCACGTCTTTGTCAGCATTTGTTATTTTTGTCTCTTCTATAATAGCCATCCTAACTGGAGTAAGATGATGCCTCACTGTGGCTTTGATTAGCATTTCCTTGCTGATTAGTGGTGTTGAACATTTTTTCATATATTTGTTGGTCATTTGTATGTCTTCTTTTGAGAAATGTCTGTTCAGAGCATTTGTTTATATTTAATTAGATTGTTGTGCTTCCTTGCTGTTGTTATGTTTGAATTCCTTGTATATTCTTGATATTAATTTCCTGCCAGATGAGTTTATATTTTCTCCCATTCTGTAGGTTGTCTTTTCACTCACTTTATTATTTCCTTTGCTGTGCAGAAGATTTTTAGCTTGATGTGATCCCATTTGTTTATTTTTTCTTTTGTTGCCTGTGCTTTTGATGCTTTATTCATAAAATATTTTCCCAGAGCAATGTCCTGAAGGATCTCCCCTATGTTTTCTTCTAGTAGCTTTACCATTTTGGGTCTTAAATTTGGGTATTTGAGATACTTTGAGTTGATTTTTGTATAGGGTGAGAGGCAGAGGTCTAGTTTCATTCTTCTGCATATGGATATACAGTTTTTCCAGCACCATTTATTGAAGAGACTATCCTTTCCCCAATGAGTGTTCTTGGCATCTTTGTAAAAAATCCGTTGGCTGAGATGTGTGGATTTTCTGGGTTCTTTATTCTATTCCATAGGTCTATGTGTCTGTTTTTATGCCAATACCATGATGTTTTGGTTACTACAGTTTTGTAGTATATTCTGAGGTCTGGTAGCATGATACATCCAGCTTTGTTCTTTTTGCTTAGGATGGCTTTGGCTATTCAGGATATTTTTTGATTCCATAAAATCTCTTTGGATTTTTTTTAATTTTGTGAAGAATGTTCATAGGTATTTTGATAGAGATTGCATTGAAACTGTAGGTTACTTTTGAGTAGTACTGTCACTTTAACAACATTCATATTTCTGATCCATGAGTGTGAATGTCTTTTCATTTGTTTGTATCCTCTTCAATTTCTTTCATTAGTGTTTTGTAGTTTTCATTTTACCTCCTTGGTTACATTTATGTCTGGGTTATTTTTGGTAAGTATTGTAAATGGGTTTGCCTTCTTAATTTCTTTTTCAGCGAGTTTGTTGTTCATAAATATAAATGCAACCAATCTTTGTGTATTAGTTTTGTGTCTTGCAACTTCATTGAATTTGTTTGTTCTAAAAGTTTTCTGGTAGAGTCTTCAGGTTTTCCTATATATAAGATCATGTCATCTGCAAATAGGAACAATTTGATGTCCTCCTTTCCGATCTGAATGCCCTTTATTTCTTTCTCTTGTCTAATTACTCTTGATAGGACTTCACATTTATATACTTTGAATATTTAAAATGTTTACATAAATGTCAGAATCAACTTTCATTTTTCATAGAAAAAGAAGACCCTACTTGTTTTGTAGTTTTAATATTAATCAATTATTATTATCTGAGACAAATTATTTAACAAATTAAACTGTCTATTAAAATATTTCACCACAAATAAATTCCATAAGGAAAATATCTACAACTGTTTTTATGAAAGAAAAAAAGGCTTCTCTACAGTTGCTTAGGCCTGGTGCCATGACACACACCTATAAATCCCAGCGCTGTGGAAGGCCATGGCAAGAGGATCCTTTGAGCCCAGGAATTTGAGACCAGCATGGACAACAAAGTGAGACCTCATCTCTATAAAAAATAAAAAAGAAATTAGCTGGCCATGGTGGTGCGTGCCTGTAGTCCTAGCTACTCGAGAGGCTTACGAAGGAGGATCACTTGAGCCAGGGAGGTGGAGGTTTCACTGAACCATATTCACACCACTCCACTCCAGCCTGGGCAACAGAGCTAGACCTTGTCTCAAAAAATTAAGTTAGTTAAATTAAACATAAAGTTGCATTGTATTTAAGAAATTGGGAAAGCAGGGCCGGGCGCGGTGGCTCACGCTTGTAATCCCAGCACTTTGGGAGGCCGAGGCGGGCGGATCACGAGGTCAGGAGATCGAGACCATCCTGGCTAACACGGTGAAACCCCGTCTCTACTAAAAATACAAAAAAAATTAGCCGGGCGTGATGGCGGGCGCCTGTAGTCCCAGCTACTCGGGAGGCTGAGGCAGGAGAACGGCGTGAACCCGGGAGACGGAGCTTGCAGTGAGCTGAGATTGCGCCACTGCACTCCCGTCTGAGCCACAGAGCGAGACTCCGTCTCAAAAAAAAAAAAAAAAAAAAAAAAAGATATTGGGAAAGCAGAAAATGCTTCTGTTTTTCTATTGGGTTGAACAATGAGAACACATGGACACAGGGAGGGGAACATTACATACCGGGGCCTGTCAGGGGGGTGGGAGACTGGGGGAGTGATAGCATTAGGAGAAATACCTGATGTAGATGATGGGTTGATGGGTGCAGTAAACCACCATGGCATGTGTATACCTACGTAACAAACCTCCACGTTCTGTACATGTATCTCAGAACTTAAAACGTAATAATAACAATAATAAAAACGACAAAAAAAGGAAACGCTTCTTGTTAGAACAGATTACATACCCTCATTGCTTTTTATAATAGCCTGTAATAACAGAATATCCACAAGGTGGCAGTAATATATCAGTTTCATCCTCTGAAATTAAAACTTTTGCCTATACAGTAATACAATGGATCTTTTGAACTCACTCTAACACGTAGAATACAGCAATTTGACTTAATAATTAGTCTTTAAATTTATAGTCTTGTATTATCACTTTAGTGGTTTGAATTATTTTGTATTTTAATATATTTAAATGAATTAGTCCTATACAAATTGACTAATTTGACATGTGAAGGTGTTTTTATTCTATCTTCAGAAGTTTAGCTTTAAAAAAATTTCTAAACTTCGATATCTTGTGAGTGCCAATGTTTTTATCTTATTAAAAGGTGACAGACCACACTATATTCAACTGATTTTTTTTTTTACAAGGATGCAAAATCAGTTTAAAGGAAGGATATCTTTTTCAACAAATGGTGCTAGAGCAATTGGACATTCACAGGTACAAAAACTAAGACTGACCTAAATTTATACTTTATATAAAATTTAGCTCACATAAATCACAGGCTTAAATGTAAAATGCAATATTATAAAACTTAAAGTTGTGTATGGTAGCTCGTGCCTGTAATCTCAGCTACTACTCAAGTGGCTGAGGTGGAAGGATCACTTCAATCCAGCAGTTAGTGGCTGCAGTGAGCAATGATGACACCATTGCCCTACAGCTTGGGCGAAACCTCGTCTCAAAAATAATTAATAAATAAATAAATTCATTAAACTTTTTAAAATAGAAGAAAACTCTTGAGACCTTGGGCTAGGCAAATAATTTTTAGGCTTGATGTTGATAACAAAATCTACAAAAGGAAAAAGTGATAAAACTGGACTTCATTAAAATAAATAAACACTTTTTTTTTTTTTTTTTTTTTTTTTTTTTTTTTACTTAGAAAGACCCTGTAAAGAGGTTGAAAAAATGAATTACAGACTGGGAGAAATAATTTGCATACCATATATCTGACAAAGAACTTACATCTAGCATATGTAAAAAATTCTCAAAACTCAATAGTAATAAATAAGGTATCCAATTAGAAAATAGGCATATGTGACCTCTCTGTATTATAACAAACCTCATGTGACTACAATTATTTCAAATGAAATAGACAAAACAGTAATGCCTGTTTCTAGCATATAAAATAATCAGAGAACATAGAATTATACAAAGTTAAATTACTGGGCCATTTACTTAATTTAAATATTTTTAAATGCGTGTACCCATTTTGCTTGAAGGTGTGTGCAAGTATGCTTGTATTTTTTTTTAACGATAATATGGTCACATGAGCATTAATTTTTTTTTAAAGTTTATAGTTACCCCACACAAGTTCTTGTTGATTCCCTCATTCTTATCACCTGCATAGTATTTCATTTTATAATTAATGGATTGTAGGTTTATTCTTTTAAAATCACTTGTGTTGTTCTCATGTATTTTTTTTTTCACTAAAAAGTGTTGCAATGCACAAAACTAAAAATATAACTAGGGTCTTTTCTGGATCTCTGTTGAAAAACTTTGAATAAAAATTACAAGTTCAAATCACATGCAAAATAATCATTTTAATTAATAGGGCTTTTATGCAAGGTGTTAGTAGCAGCAGCAGCACAGTTTTATTAATATCCCTGAATCTCTCACAAAACTGACTGAGCAACTGGGATAACAAGGTATTAACTATGACAAAACAATGTAACAGGGTGTCATCATGGCCCTTTTGTGGGGTTAAACCACAGGGACCCAGGCGAATCACCAATTTTTTTGGAAGAAGGAAAGGAAAGAAAAAAATGTTTAATGGCCCTGGGAACTGGAAAACCTAGAAATACAAGCGCTAACATCTATGTTCCTAAATTCAGAGATTCTTACTAGGCAAAAAGAACTCAGCAGATTAATCTGAGAACAGCAGCTGAGGCTGACAGAAGGCTTCCTGGGCCTCAACTCATAGCTGAGGGTGAGGATGGCAAAAAGCAGGTGCTGTGAGTGGTCTGTTTCCTATGAACCCTACAAATTAACCACCCCCAAAACAAAGCCCTGTCCTAAAGAGAAACTGCAGGAAGTCAACTATAAATTGAGTTGGGAAGCACACTGAGGCTCAAGAAAAGGGAAGCTCCAGGTTAAGATGCAAGAGAAGAAGGGAAAAGGCAGTTTTCTGCAAGTTCAAGCACGAATAATTTCTTTACCTTCTAGTTCTGGAAATACCAGGTGCTGTGTATGTAAAGCAGGAATTTTGGTTGAATATTATATAATTTTCTGACCCACGGTTACTAATCCAGTTTCCCTGTACTCAGGTCTTCCATGCTACAGACAGACTGATAGATGCTCAGCAAATAGTTGCTAATATTTTCTAGGTAACTAGGTGCTAAACGAGTTTTCTTAAATTTCTACCTCCAGGTCTGTAAGTTGATTTGAAGCATTACCAGTTTCTGGTTCTGCACAGGTTGTTGAGCGCAGGACTTCTCTCCTCCAGTAGAAAGTCCACCTGCTCGCAATCAACCATCCTTTCCTGCGGCCTTGAGACACTACTCAGTGTAGCACACCTCCCAGTCTAGAATAGGCACACTCATCATCAGTCTCTCTCATTTGCTGCCTTATCTCCATTCTATCTACATACAGTTTTTGTTTTCGCCAATGTTTTTAAATAAACAACTGTACAAGCACAACAATGACAACAGAAACCTTCCTTCCCCCAGTGTTGTAGTGAGCAAGGAATATATTTAACTTCAAATAAAAGACAAAAACAAATGCTGGATAAAGCTGACAGAAAGAAATGCAACTGTAGGTGCTCTGGCAATATAGAAATGATACAACTAAGAAAAATGGAAGAAAAGGAAAGAGAAAGTATTCCTCAGAATGATTTTACTGACTGCTCATCTGTAATGCCTGGGAGTCAAAGGATATTGTTTATAGAAATGTAAGCATACTTAGTGGCACCAGGGGAAACAAAGTTAATATGATTAAATCAAATTGTGGGATGAAAAATCACATAGGGAGGACAAGAAAGAGAATACAGCTAATACCATTGTTCTTAGTTTAGAGACATTAGCTACTGTCTAAAGAAAGAGATGATTTTATGAAATTCCATAAGGTAGCCATCAGAATAAAAGTTTAACTCTTCCAAATATCACAACATCAAAACAAAAGCAATAAAAACAAACAAGACAGCAAAAGACAGATATGTGCATATAAATCATAGCATAATATACTGTAATCAAAATATAACCAAACACAATTTATCATTAAAAGTAAGTGGGCATGACGCTTATTAGAGGAAAAAATATTGTCAGATTAAATCAAAAAGCAAATCTCAATTCTATGCTGGATATAAGATAAAGTGTTACAGAAAGTTTAGAAATAAAAGTATAGGCAATGAATAAAAGGATCTTCTCTTCATGCGTTAGTAGTATAAAACAGTAAGTAAACACATCATACGCTTTCTATTTTTACACTTAAATGGCTGGAGATGTTACACCACTAGTATGAATTTACTTCAGATATATAAAGGATACACTTTTATGTGGTTAGAAACAGCAATGATAATAATTAAGGTGAAAATAACATCTGCATTGACGCTTGGAAGAAAGAGCCATTGTTGGGTACATAGTGATCACATTACCATGGAGCAATCTGTTCCCAACTGAAATGTCCTTGCCCTTCTACTAAAATCATGTAAGATTCTGCAAAAGTAGTGTTTACTTCCCACAAATCAGCCATTTGTGGGAATGGCTGCTATTGTTGTCCACACGGAATGAGCATCAGACTTATATTTAGCTGTTGTATCATTAAGAGTCGTATTTGGCCCTTTCCAGAGGCTGTTATTTCAATTATATTTTGGAGATTTAGTCTGCTTCCAGACAAATAATTTTTCCAGAACTTTGATCCATATGAAATGTCCCTTTGGTAGGGATCTAGGGATTGAGTTTATTTTTAATTACTGTAGCCTCCTGGACAGGATGAGAAACAGATTACCTTTATATTTCCCTGTCATGTGAGCAGGGCTAGATTTAGCGTGAGAATGCTTGAAAGTTTATAGTTTTTTAGAAATGTTATTTACTGTGTGTCTCTTTATCAAAATAAAATTAATGCTGAAAAGCTATATTAAATGAATTATTTTGAGATGGTCCCTTCCCCCTTCTTCCAATGAGAGGATATCCACAGATATGTCAGGAGCTTGCTTTACCTAGAAATGTGTTGAGGGCCACAGGTTTGGGTTCACCTAGGAATGTTTAGGGACACCTCCCCAAGTGGTTGTTGAAGAGTGGTGTAAATGTAAGATAGAATTAGGCTCACGGAGGCCAGATGAGAGCATCATGTCACCCCAGAAACACAGCATATACCTAGGAGATCTGTTCTCAGTATCAAAGTCTTAAGCACTGTAAGATTGCCTATAGACCAAGAAAACAACTATATATATATATATATATATATATAGTTAATAAAATCAGTTAATATATAAACATATATTTATTTATTAACTTATTTTTATTTTTATCTTCAGACAGCATCTTGCTCTGTCACCTAGGCTGGAGTGCAGTAGTGCAATTAAGGCTCACTGCAGCCTTGACCTCTGGGGCTGAAGCTATCCTCCTGCCTCAGTCTCCTAAAGTACTAGGATGAGAGGTGTGAGTCACCTTGCCAGGCCCAGGGCAATAACTATGCAATGTTTATATAATTTGGAGCAAAAAATATTTGAAATATGTGTGCATAGCTTTTTAACCTTTTCTATTGATTTACTTTATTAAATACTGAATAGAAACAATATATTTATAAAATATGTATTTTATATATATAATAAGCACATAATGAACACCTGTGTCTCCAGTCTTGATTTAAGAAATTAAGCCAAAAGTAATCATAAGTGCTTATGATTACTTTTGAAGTCACCTGTACAACTTTTGCTGACTACATCCCCTTCTTCAACACTCTAACGATGGCCACTGAGCACTGTGTATACTGAATTGTGTTGTATTTTAATACTGTGTGCACTACATTGTTTTCCTAGCTGTATGCTATTGCATTTAGTGAGCATAATGAATTATATCAGTATAATTCACTTTTGTCATTTCATTGTTTCAGCTTTTCTGTACTAATTATTGCCAATGTATTTCTACTGGCATAAAAACAGACACATAGGACAGTGGAACAGAATAGACATCGCAGACAAATCTACACATTTACAAACAACTCATCTCTGACAAAGGCATCAAGAACATACACTGGGAAAACAACAGTCTTTTCAATAAATGATCCTGGGAAAACTGAATAACCATATGCAGAAGGATAAAATTAAACCCATCTTACCATACACAAAAATCAAATCAAATAAAAATGGATTAAAGACTTGAATCTGATACCTGAAACTATGAAGCTAGTAAAAAAAAAAAAAAAAAAAGCATAGGAAAGGCCGGGCGCGGTGGCTCACGTCTGTAATCTCAGCACTTTGGGAGGCCAAGGCGGGCGGATCACAAGGTCAGGAGATCGAGACCACCCTGGCTAACACGGTGAAACTCCGTCTCTACTAAAAATACAAAAAAAAAAAATAGCGGGGCATGATGGTGGGCGCCTGGAGTCCCAGCTACTCGGGAGGCTGAGGCAGGAGAATGGCGTGAAAAAAAAAAAAAAGAGAAAGAGAAAAAGAAAGCATAGGAGAAATGCTCCAGGACATTAGTCTGGGCAAAGATTTTTTTGCGTAAGACCTCGGAAGCACAGGCAACAAAAGCAAATATAGACAATAGGATTATATCAAACTAAAAAGCCTCAAGCAAAGGAAACAATCAACAAAGTGAAGAGCCAACCACAGAATGGGACAAAATATTTTCAAACTATCTATCGGAAAAAGGATTAAGAAGTAGAATATATAAGGAGCTCAGACAACTCAATAATAAACAAACAAAAAATCTGATTGAAAAATGGGCTACTGAAGAGGCTGAGGTAGGAGGATTTCTTTTTTTTTTTTTTTTGAGATGGAATCTCGCTGTCGCCCAGGCTGGAGTGCAGTGGCGCGATCTCGGCTCACTGCAGGCTCTGCTCCCCCGGGGTTCACGCCATTCTCCTGCCTCAGCCTCCTGAGTAGCTGGGACTACAGGTGCCCGGCACCAAGCCCGGCTAATTTTTTGTATTTTTAGTAGAGACGGGGTTTCACCATGTTAGCCAGGATGTTCTCGATCGCCTGACCTCGTGATCTGCCCGCCTCGGCCTCCCAAAGTGCTGGGAATACAGGCGTGAGCCACCGCGCCCGGTCAGGAGGATTTCTTAATCCCAGGAGTTTGAGGTTACAGTCAGCTATGATGATGCTACTGCCCTTTAGCTTGGGTGACAAAGCAAGACCTTGATTCTGAAAAAAAATAGTTAAAAATATATAAATAAATACAATTTAAAAATGGGCAAAAGATCTGAACAGATATTTTCTCAAAAGAAGATATACAAATGGCCAATAGGAAGGTGAAAAAATGTTCAATATCACTAATCGTCAAAGAAATGCAAATCAAAATCACAATGCAATATCATCTCACCTTGGTTAAAATGACTTGTTTCAAAAAGACAGGCAATAACAGATGCTGGCAAGGATGTGGAGAAAAGGAAATACTAGTACACTGTTGGTGGGAATCTACATTAATAAAGCCACTATGGAGAACAGTATGGAGATTCCTCAAAAAAGTAAAAATAGAACTACCATGTGGTCCAGCAATTTCTTTACTGGATATATATCCAAAATAAAGGAAATTAATGTATCAAAGACATATCTACATGCCGATGTGTACTGCAGCACTATTCACAATAGACAAAATATGGAATCAACGTAAGTGCTCATCAAAAAATGAATAGATTTTAAAAGTCAAATACATACATAATGGAATACTACTCAGATACAAAGAAGAATGAAATTCTGTCATTTGCAGCAATATAGGTGGCGCTGGCCACTTGGCTTAATGTAATGAACATAGGCCATTATGTCAAGTGGAATGAACTAAGCACAGAAAGGCAAATACTACATGTTGTCACTCATATGTGGGCAGTAAAAAAGTGGATCTCATGAAGATAGAAAGTAAATTGGTGGTTGCTAGAGGCCAGCAAGGGGAGTGGGAAGAGGAGATTAAGAGAAGAAAATATAAATGTATTTATCACTACTAAACTGTCCTCTAAAAATGTACAGATGGTAAATTATATATATATATTTTAACTCAATAAAAAGTTAAAAAAAATTCTGCTGTGTGTTTATAGGGCACATGTACAAGACTTTCTCTAGGGTTGTATCAGTTTTCTATTCCTGCTGTAACAATTTACCACAAATTCAGTGGCTTAAAAGAACACATTTTTGTAAGATTTGAGTCAGTTTTAAAAAACACAAACTTATTGTCTTGGAATTGTTTTGGTTGGAAATCTGGCATGGCTCTCACTGAACTAACATCAAGATGTTGGCAGGCTGCATTTCTTTCTGAAGGCTCTAAAAGAGCATCTGGGTTGTTGGCAGAATTCAGTTCCTTGTGGTTGTAGATCCTCAGTTTCTTCCTGGTTGTAAACTTTGGGTCATTCCCAGCTTCTAAAGGTCACTGGCTTTCCTTGGCTTGTGGCCCCCTACCACTGTTTTAAAAGCCAGTAATAGCAGGCCACATCTTTCTCATACTGCCATCTGTCTGAATCTCAGCATCCAGAAAATATCCTCTGCTCTCAAGGAATTATGAGATTAGATTGGCTCACCAAGGTAATTCAAGGAAATTTCCCCATTTCAATGCCCTTAATGGTAATCACATCTGCCAAGTCCCTTTGAACATGCTAACTTACGTTAGCATGTTCACCTTATCTGAAGACTGGGATGTGGCTGTCTTTGGTGGGGGGCAATTATTCTGCCTAACCCAAAGATACACAACTTGCAGATATACAACTAGTTCATGGAGATGAAACATTTTCAAATCTACAAGAAAATGTTTTCTAAAATGAGCATTTCATATTAGACTTTCACGAGCACTGTATCAGAATTATATTTACTTCATAATGCTGCCAATACTGATATCAGATATTTAATTTTCTAGCCAGTTCAGGATAATGTGAATTGTGAATAATATATTTGTTCATTCAGTCAATAAACATTTTTTATCAGATACCACTGATATGCTGGACAGTGTCATGGATCCTAAAAATATAGCTGTTATTATTTTTTTTTAAACAAAATCCCCACTGTGATAAAGCTTTTATTCTTTGGGACAGTTAGACAGTAATCCAGATAAATAAATGCAAGGGCAAATTGGGGGAAAAATTGGAATGGAGAGCTCAGAATCTGGCCCCAGAGAAGGGCAGAGGGAAAGGGGACTCAGTTCAGAATCTCGGTGGGTCCACACCAAACAATTCCATGAGGGCTGAGGCGACAGAGCTGAAAGGCTTGTCTGACATCACAAGAGACAGAAAAGTGAGCCCCATTTTCATCTCTATCCTCACAATGTTCCTGGCTTGATTTCTTCCTTCCAGCAGACACAAGAATCAGGGAGCGCACCCTGATGGTAACATTTTTTTCAGGGGCCTATTTTGGGGATCCTGGTGAGAACCTGAGTCCGTCACTGACCATGGCAGCCCAGCATGGTCCCCAGTGCGTGGCCCAAGGCCAAGATTCTCTACCTCCATCCTGGAGGCAGAAGAAATGTCTGGGGGAAAATGAGAGGTTTTAGGTGGTTTGCACTGGGTGAGACCAACGAGAAATTTTAAAGCTGTGTGTCCTGGGGCCAGGGGCGGTGGCTCACGCCTGTAATCCCAGCACTTCGAGAGGCCGAGGCGGGCAGATCACGAGTTCAGGAGATCGAGACCATCCTGGCTAACGGTGAAACCCCGTCTCTACTAAAAATACAAAAAATTAGCCGGGCTTGGTGGCGGGTGCCTGTAGTCCCAGCTATTCGGGAGACTGAGGTAGGAGAATGGCGTGAACCGGGAGGCACAGCTTGCTGTGAGCCGAGATCGCGCCACTGCACTCCAGCCTGGGTGACAGAAAGAGACTCCTTCTCAAAAAAATAAAAATAAAATAAAAATAAAAAATAGAAAAAGCTGTGTGTCCTTTGTTTCTTCATATTTTGCAGATTTTTGATGTCAAAATATTTTCACAGTCAAAAGAGTGTTAATAAAGAATGACTTCTCTGTTATAAAAACCCTAATAGTGAATGTATTTACCAAGAAGTTAGATTCTATCTTTGGTTTTTTTGTTTTTTGCCCCGTAGTTTAAAAAAAATAGTTTTATTGTATGGATATTCTACAGTTAGTGTATCTATTCACCTCTTGATGGACATTTGGTTTGCTTCCAGTTGTTTTTACTATTTCAAATAAAGTTGCTACGAATGTTTGTCCAATCGTTTGTACATACGCTTTCATTTGTCTTGGGCAAATAAGCAGGATTTGAACGACTAGGTGGTGTGATATGTTTAACTTTTTTTTTTTTTTGAGATGGAGTCTTGCTCTGTCGCCCAGGCTGGAGTGCAGTGGTGCATCGCGGCTCACTGCAAGCTCCGCCTCCCGGGTTCACGCTATTCTCCTCCCTCAGCCTCCCGAGTAGCTGGGATTACAGGCGCTCACCACCACGCCCGGCTAATTTTTTGTATTTTTAGTAGATACGGGGTTTCACCGTGTTAGCTAGGATGGTCTCGATTTCCCGACCTCGTGATCCACCCGCCTTGGCCTCCCAAAGTGCTGGGATTACAGGCATGAGCCACCACTCCCGGCCAGTTTAACTTTTAAAGAAACTGACAAAGTGGCTGTATTTCCAGCAGCAGTGTATGAGCATTCCTGTTCCTTTGTGTTCTCACCAGTGTTTAGTATGGTCAGTCTTTTAACTTTTAGCTATTCTAATAGGCATGTAGCAGTATCTCATTGTGGTTTTAATTTACATTTCCCTAATGATGAATGATGTTGAATATCTTTCAATGTGCTTACGTATCATCCATCTGTATTCTATGTTGAAATGTCTGTTCAGATCTCTACATTTGTGTTAGACTATTTGTTTTCCTATTATTGAGTCCTGAGAGTTCTTTGTATATTTTGGATAACAAATGTGTCTTCACCAGATATAGCTTTTGTAAATTTTTACTCCCAGTCTGTGATTTGTCTTTTTATTCTCTCGATAGTGTTTTTCTTTTTCTTTTTTTTTTTTGACAGAGTCTGGCTCTGTCACCCAGGCTGGATTGCAGTGGCACGATCTCGGCTCACTGCAATCTCCGCCTCCTGGATTCACGCCATTCTCCTGCCTCAGCCTCTCCGAGTGGCTGGGACTACAGGCGCCTGCCACTACGCCCGGCTAATTTTTTGCATTTTTGGTAGAGAGGGGTTTCATCGTGGTCTAGATCGCCTGATCTTGTGATCCAACCACCTCGGCCTCCCAAAGTGCTGGGATTACAAGCGTTAGCCACCACGCCTGGCCTCTGGATAGTGTTTTTCACAGGTCAGATTAATTTTTATATAAATCATTAATTTTATTTTTATTATGTAAAAGTTTATAATTTTTAATTTTATTTTTAATTTCCTTTTTAAAAGGTAAATAAAATTTTAAGTGTAATGATGCAAAATTTTGTTTAAAAGTAAATGTATATAAAAGTGTTTATGTAGACTAAAAAATTGAATAAGTAAGAAGGTAGATAGTTGTCACAGTAGGAGTGAAGTGAAAAGCTTCCCCTTTCACCCTCTGAAGATTACCCGAAATGAACTGACCATACACAGATTAATAAAAGAAAGGGTATACAAACTTACTTAACCTGCAAAAACATGAGAGCTATGCACAAAGTATAAGACTTGACAATGGCTCAGATCTTAAATGTTCTCCTCATAGGCAATAGATATATAGACCCAGGATGCAGACATTATTTTGTAAATAATTTCCTTTGGAAGCTGGATGGGACAGACAAATTACGGGAAGGTGAGAGATGGAACTGCACAGGAAAAAAGTTTGTCTTTGTCACTTTAATCTTATTACTAGAGAATATTTATGAATATTTTAGAATAATATATTTTTAAGCCCAAACCTCACCAAATGTTTTTTCTAAAACAAATACTTTTTGTTGTTGTTTGTTTTTGATACTGTGTCTCACTCTGTCACCCAGGTATGGAGTGCAGTGGTGCAACCATGGCTCACTGCAGCCTTGACCTCCTGGGCTCAAGTGATTCTCCTACCTCAGCCTTCCAAGTAGCTGGGCTACAGGCATGCACCATCATGCCCTGGTAATTAAAGAAAAAAAAGATATTGTTAGAGACCAAGTCTCATTATATCACCCTGGCTAGTCTTGAACTCCTGGAATCAACTGAGCCTCATGCCTTGGCTTCCCAAATTATTGGGATTATAGGTGTGAGCCACAGTGCCTGACCACATATTTCTATACTTCACTGAGGAAAGGAAGGTGCTAGGAAAATTGGTTAAGAACTATTTTTTAAAAAGCTATTAGTAGTGTTTTATTTTATTTTATTTTTTAATGATTGATTGATTTTTGAGATTGGGATCTCACTATGTTGCCCAGGCTGGTTTCACATTCCCAAGTTTAAGCAATACCCCTGCCTCAGTCTCCCAAGTAGCTGGGATGACAGGTGTGTGTCACCAAAGCCAGCTCCATTAGTAGCGTTTTTAACAATTGTGGGCCACTGAGTAAGAATATTTTTTTTTAAATTAAAGGTTATTTTTTAAAAAGCACATTTGTAGAAAATTACTAGCATAATCTGTCTGGAATAAATATACATATTGAAAAAATGCTTGCTCTGAACAAAAAGAAATATATTCACCACACATACATACATACACACACACACACGCACACACGCACACACGCACACACACACACACATTACGGAAGATTTCAAGACCAGGCAATAATTTCCACTCAATCCAAAAACAATGCAATCCCAGAGCTGAATATTTAGGTGAAGAATATATCAGGAATGGGAGGCATTCAGGTTTAATTTTCATGTTTTGGTAGAGTTAGGATGTGAGTTTTCATTTAAAAATATTCTTTATTTTTTTGCTACTATTGTGGTTTCTGTATTGTTACTATACAAACTGTAATCTAAATAGTAAAGGAGAGAAAAGTGATTTTCAAAGAAGCTGGCTTGGGAACAGGTACTATTCTGGGAAGACGAAAGGTTTCACTTAATGACTGGTACCTCTGCCACTCTGGTTATTTTAACTGTTAACCTTTTAGCAAGAGGTTTTTCTTTTAAAAGACATCCTTTAATATTTGGGAAGCTAGTGCAATAGTACACATTGAGGCCCACATACCACATGCCAAATATTTAAAAGGCATATTTCTAGCTAACCACTGTACATACATATATTTTTTCTCTCTTATTGTCTTATTTTATTTTTTTTCCTTGTCAACAATTTATGTCCACACATATCTTCTAACATCCCACTTTGACAAGTAATATTATACCTTCAAAATGATGTGGAAGACTAGATTGGAATTTAGAACCATAGAACCTTGTAATTGTATAGGCAAGTTTCTTCCTGGGAAAAAATAAAACAGGAAGAAAAGGCTGGGCAACCTCTGGTTCAGGAAGGAAATTCGGGAGTCCCTTATAGCAGCATCTCTAGTACTTGGGAACCGAACAGACTTCTCGGCCTGTGAGGCTGGAATGGGCCCTTCTGGAGAACACGACAGAGAAGTTATCTACTGCCTTTGCCCCCAGGGCCCAGGCAACACTTTTACCCTCCATTGTTTCTGAAGTTAAGGGGAGGAGACAATGTTTTGTTTAGTGACCTCGACAGAAAAAGTGTCCTCCTGCAACCACTCATTTGTTACTTTCCTTCTTCCTGAATTGCCTGGACCCACTCCTCCTCCATTTGACTGGCTCTGTGCACTGATGTTATAGTCAGGAGATTTTTGGGAATTGTGGCTTCTAAAAATGTACACCCGACTCTACCCATAGCTGGCCCTGTGAACCTACACACCTGCTCCACTGTGTCTCCTTCTCAAAGAGACACTCTTCCTGCTGAGTCTCTGCCCTCTGCTCCTAGATCCAAATGGCATCTCCTACCCTATCCCTGTATGGCTTAACCTAGGGAAACTCTTTCCCAGAGGAGTCAGGTAAGGAGACGGTGGCTGAGCTTCTTACAGACTTAAAGGAGACATCCTGGAATTTAGGAGTCTGTCCTTCCTGTCTCCCTGGCAGCTCCTGCTGCTGCTCAAAGTTTAGCTTTGTCTCTCATCCAGCTCAGACTGTTGCTTGTCCTGATAGCCTCTGCTTAGCTGTATTAGTACGTTCTTGCATTGCTATAAAGAAATACATGAGAAATACCTTTAGTTGGCTCACCGTTCCATAGGCTATACAGGAAGCATAGTGGTTTCTGCTTCCGGGGAGGCCTCAGGAAACTTTTACTCAAGGTGCAGGGCAAAAAAAAAAAAAAAAAAAAAAAAAACAAAAAAACAAAAAACAAAAAAAAACTACCAGTACTGCACTGTGAGGCCCTGATCCCTGAGCTAACTTCATATTATTACCTCTACAGCAAGTGTCTGTGAGAACATAGATATATTTCTTATGTGAGTACACAATTTACAGAAGAGGAACTACCCTCCCAAACCAAAACAAAATGTCATAATTTTAATTTACCAGCAAACCTAGGTTGCTTCTGTGAAATGATCTCATTTGCTGAGTTTTAAAATTGACTAAATTTCCCAATTTCCAAATGAAAATATTTAGTTATCTTGTCTTGCTATGTGTTTTTGGTTAATATGATGATTAATTTTTGGTCTATTACTTAATATATTCCATAATTGTTGATATGGATTATAAGGACTTACAAAATAGTTTTCAGATGTCTTTAATTTTTTTACTTAGTGTAGATCCTATAAATGGATTAGGAGTATTCTATTAACTCCCATGTATTCAGAAATAGAATTGGAGTGGTAAATTCTGTTTGAGGTAACAAGGGATATCAAAGGAAAAAAATAATTTTGTGACTATGTCTTCTATACATGAATTTTTCAGGCATCTTTATCAATGGCTTATACTAAAGAAATTTTCTGGATCATGGGTGACAGAGAGAAGACATGCGGATAAGTGGCATTGTGTACACTACTGCATTTTATCATCTGGCTTATTTTTAAACTTTTATTTCTCTTAAGGATGTTTTATTAACCGGTGCATCACCAGGTTAACAGTCTCTGGAACAGTAAACTTACCAGAAAATACTTGTTGATTGAATTAACAAGAAAACAACATTAGAAAACAGTGGTGCCTTGTTTTTGTCTGTTGCAGTATCTTGGAGAGTAAAGCCTAACTCTTTAATTTTGGCTGAAGATATAAAGAAATACCTGAGGAATACCTTTAGTTGGCTAATGGTTCCGTAGGCTATACTGGAAGCATGGTGGTTTCTGCTTCTGGGGAGTCCTCCAGCACTTACTGGCAGGGTAATTTTGAAGAAGTCATGATAAGATGGTTGTTACAATTAAATGAAATAATCAAAATGGAAGAGCTTAGTTAGCTGTCTTCCCTAAATGAATCACTGGCAAGTAAGAGTGTGATTGATTTTCCTACCAGTCAGGACTCACCCCTTGAAGCTATAGGAGAGTAAACTCTGAAGACCATACAATTTAGGGAACACTAACACCTCAAAAAACTCTGTAAACTTCCTTCCTTCCTTTTCTTCCTTCCTTCCTTCCTTCCTTCCTTCCTTCCTTCCTTCCTTCCTCCTTCCCTCCCTCCCTCTCTCTCTCTTTCTTTTCTTTCTTTGTTCATTTTTGAGACAGAGTCTTGCTCTGTCATTCAGGCTAGAGTGTAGTGGCTGGATTATGGCTCACTGCTGCCTTAACCTCCTGGGCTCAAGCAAACGTCTCACCTCAGCCTCCCTAGTAGCTGGGAGTATTGGCATGCTCAGCTAATTTTTTCCTCCTTTTCTTTTTGTACAGACAGGGTCTCATCATGTTGCCCAGGCTGGTCTTGGACTCCTTGGATCAAGCAATCCTGCTGCCTCAGCCTCCCAAAGTGCTGGATTACAAGCATGAGCCACCGTGCCCAGCCTTAAGTTTTTTCATACAGGAGGAAAGAATTTGGGAAAGTAGGTGTGTGTGTGAGTGTTGATTAGGGAGCCAACACATTTTTCTGCAAAGCTTGAATTCTGTGCCTCAGTTTTTCATTTTGTTATGTGCAAAATAAAATCGTATCCTGCTATAGATTTAAACCTGTGAGCGGATCCTACTCAAAACCTGTTTCAAATTTTGTGTAGATCTTTGTCTCTCTATGGCATAAGAATAAATTCTTCTGGTTTTCTTCCCTCAGAAAAATGGACTTAGACTTCCCACAAGCCTTCCAGAAAGAACTCACCTGCCTCACTTGCCTGAATTACCTCATAGACCCCATCACTATAGGCTGTGGGCACAGTTTCTGTAGGCCCTGACTCTGCCTTTGCTGGGAAGAAGCACACACTCCTGCCCTGCATGCAGGGAACTGTCACAGCAGGAAGATTTCAACCAATATTCTTCTGAAGAATCTAGTGTCCATTGCCAGAAAAGCCAGTCTCTGGCAATTCCTGAACTCTAATGAACAAATGTGCGGGATCCACAGGTAGACAAAGATGTTCTGTGATGTGGGCAAGAGCCTGCTCTGTTTTCTGTGTTCTAACTCTCAGGAACACTGGGGCACAGAAACACTGGCCCACTGAAGGGGCAGCTAAGGAACACTGTGTAAGTGATGACTCAGAGCACTTTGAAAGCTGGAGGGCAGCACAGGTAAAGAGATTAGGAGGAAGATGAAGAGCATGAGGATTAATCTATTCTTTAGCGAGTGTCATGTACTGCCTAGGTATCAGTGATATAACTGTTATCCTGCTATCAAATCTACTGATAAGTGGCTCATTTAACTTATATGCACTCATCACAATGCAAGAAATCCTCTGACTGCTCCTACCATCGTGGCCCCTAGCCATGATAAGACTTGTCCCCACACTAGCAGAAACTAATCGAGTCCCTATATTAGGGATAAGTGGCATTTATATATATATATATAATTTTTTATATATAATTTTTATATGATATATAAAATATAAATATTTATACAATATATATTATATACATATATATACATATATATATACATATATATATATATATATATATATATATATATATATATATATATCACAATGCCAAACATGTTTTGTCTTGGAAATAATCACAGTGCATTTGGAGAGACAAATGCATCTACAACCAGGCGACAACACTGAAAATAAAATTGTAGCAGTTTGAATAGGGGATTAAATGAGTTAATTTTTTCCTGGGGTTCAAAAAAAGAAACAGCAGCAAAAAATGGTACTTAAGACTGAAAGTTGGCCATGTGCAGCTGCTCATGCCTGTAATCTCAACATTTTGGGAGGCCAAGGTGGGCGGATAACCTGAGGTCAGGATTTCGAGACCAGCCTGGCCAACATGGTGAAACAACGTCATTACTAAAAATACAAAAATTAGCTGGGCATGGTGGCAGGTGCCTGTAATCCCAGTTACTCAGGAGGCTGAGGCAGGAGAATCTCTTGAACCCAGGAGGTAGAGTTTGCAGTGAGCCAAGATCACGCCATTGCTGCAGCCTGGTTGACAAAAGCAAAACTCCATCTCAAAAAAAAAAAAAGGAAAGTTCTGGGTTATGACACAGAACACATGCAACATGAATATGTCATGGTTATGAACATGTAGACTACTCAAGATTGTGTATTTTTAAAATAATAGAATACTAGGTTAAAAAATTAGCATCACAGAATGAAAAATAAGCCACAAACTAGCAGAAGATAATTGTAACACATAAAAACAAAGGATTAAATACAATGGTAATATAATGATAGCTATTCTTACAAAGTTGTTTCTATGTCTCAGGTACTATTCTGAACAACATATGTGCATCTTGAATGCGTGAAGAGTTCCTATATAAGAAAAACACAAACAACAACATTTAAAATGAGCAAAAAACCCGAATAGGAATTTCACAGAAGAGAAAACATAAATGGTCCATAAACATAATAAAAGATGCTCAACTACAATTCTAATCAGGGAAATAAACATTAAAACCCCAAAGAGATGCCACTTCATACTCTAGGAAAAACCTAAAAGGCTGTGAATATCTAGTTTCATTGAGGAAGAACAATGGGAAGACTATTCACTGCTGGTGAGGGTGTAGATTGGTACAACTGCTTTGGAGAACGGTATGATGCCACTCAATAGAGCTGAACACACACATGCCCAATGACCAAGCAATTCCACTCCAGGTACATACAGTAAAAATACTCCTGCACATGTAGAATAGGAGACACTGCATAACAAAGTTCACTACAACATGAGGCTGAGGTGGGAAGATAGCTTGAGATCAGGAGTTCGAGGCTGCACCAGTAGCTGGGACTATAAGCATGTGCCACCATGCCTGGTTAATTTTTTGCTGTTGTGGTTGTTGTTAGAGATGAGGTCTTCCTTTATTGAACAAGCTGGTCTCCAACTCCTGGCTTCAAGTGATCTTCCCACTTCTGCCTCCCAAAGTGCTGGGATTACAGGGGTGAGCCACTATGCCTGGCCAAGCTCTGCTTCTTAATCTGAGGTAGATACTTTGATGTTTCATTTTCCTTTATTGTACAGATATACTTTATATTCTCATATGTGACACAAGTCAAAATTTAAAAATACAATTTAACATTTATTCCCTTTAGATGAATGATGGGCAAATTTACATAATGAATTCATTACTGAAACAATGTATACATTTCAGACTAGGAAAGTAACTATTTATAAAAGAAAAGCTTAAAACCTGAAACAGAAACAAAATCCTGAAACTGTAAAATTGAGTCAAACTAAAATTTAAAAAACAAAGTAATGATATAAAGTATCATTTGTCCAAATGTGTTCTACAAAACGCTTTTTTCTTAAATATGTCTGATGAAAAACAGGTTCTAGGAGTAAAATATGTTTGAAAAATGCTGGGTTAAACAACTGAACCTATGAAGGAAGGAATAGAACATCTCAAGCTCTTCACTCTGGAATCTTTTTTACACGGCAATTAACACCATGCTTCTTCTTGGATTTGTATTTCAGATAAACACAATCTGGGAAACATTTTATAATACAGAGGGCCACACCAGATTGAATATTACCCCCAGGAATGAAATGAAAACAGGAATGGATTCTCCAGTAAGAGGTACCCAGATATCCTAATCTTCAGTAGCTGACCTAAACCCTGGAAAAGTGGGATCAAACCCCATAACCAAATACAACTATTTAGGAACTAAGTGGATAATCACTCTGTGTTGTATGAACATGTGGGCAGTGTGTTTCCTACACAGTTTAAAAGTGCAACAAAAAAAAGATCTAGGTGTCATATAAAGAATTTCTACCACTGTTAGGGTAATGGTGGACTGACAGGCAGAGGGTCTTAGATGTGACTTAAGTAAAGTTCAATAGAAGCTTCCAGCACAGAAATTCATGTTTTGAATTGGACCGCTCAGTTAAAAAGTTTTCCCATTAGACTTCCCCTAATCAAATTAGAAATGATCTAATTTTCTAATAAAGTTTTCCCCAGGCACAAGGAATCTGTGTACTGGACCTAAAAAATTCTTCATAATGTGCTTTTATTACCATAAAAGATGCACATTTATTTTAAAAACTTCTCTACACCACTATCATAAGCCTTTGCACACACTTATTTCTTTTGGAAGCTAACTTCTGAGTGGTAATGAAATACATTCTTAAGAAAAAAGTCTGACACAATGCCTTTGCATCTTAAAATATGTTAAAATATTATTTGAAAAGAGTCAAACATCTGTGTTTTCAGGGTATCACAGGGCGTCAAACTGGAAAATGTGGCACTGCCAGGAGTTTCTACCTGGTGAAGGGTGGCAGACTTTTCTCTTCAGAGGGCTCTTGACAGGGTAGTATCCATTATCTTGCCAATTTACCACAACCTAGGCCCAATCCTCAGTCTTATAGGTTCAGAAATTTATTTTTATCAGCATCAATAGGGTAGCTACATTGCTTAGAAGCAAACAAAAATAACCATGCTTCAATAGAAATCAGGGTATAGATGTATTAATACAGAATGACAAATATAACTGTGACAGAAATAGGAATGCCCGTTTATGGTCATATATGGCCAATACTTTCATTACAGCCAAACTCATACATGCAGACAAATAGGAGGCCTCTGGATACACAGGGAATCAGAATAAAAAAAGAAGAACTGAACATTTAAAACATTTAATAGTCTTCTTTCATTCAATCAATAATTTTTTTTAATTAAGAAACTACTATGTCCAGGTAACCTTCTAGGTCCTGGGGATACAGAGGTCTCGGCTTACAGAAGTCATATGTAAGTAGCAGGTGAAGAGTATGTGTTTCACAGAAGTTTATTACAATATATTAACAAGAGCAAAAAATTTTGGAAGCAATCTAAATGTTCAATAATAGAGCTCCATTTAAATAACAATAAATCCAAATAATGAAAAATAATGCAGCCCTTTAAGAATAAGCACTTGCAAGCCGTAATTCATGACATGGGAAAATTATCATAGTGGAAAAAGAAGCAAGCTATATATAGTGCATGATCCTATACACACACATACATACATACATATTTCCTATCCCTTTATATGCATAAGAAAACAAGCGGGAGGAAAGTCATATCTTTAGTCAAATCTTGTTTACTAACGTACTATTAATGATTATCTTTTCTTTTTCTTTATACCTTTTTGCATTTTTCAATTTCCTAAAATAGCCTTACATGCCTTTTATCACCAGGAGAAAAATTACTTCTAAAGTAATTACAGTCAACATGCATACTAAGAACTCTTCAGATTTAACTGCTAGAAGCTGTGCATGAATGCCAGTCCTTGCATCTGTCTTGGAACTCACAGAGAGCTCTTTTCCCATGGCTTTAAGCAATACTCAAAAAGACTAGCATACCTGAATTTCCTAGTCCTATGTTTTTTTCATCCAACAGCCAGTCTTGTATTTCTAGCTGTTTTCTAAACATTTCAACCAAACCATTTTACAGATAACTCATACAGTCATCCTTTGATATGCATGGCGAATTTGTTCCAGGATCCCCCTTGTATACCAAAATCCATGGATGCTCAAGTTACTGGTATAAAATAGTGTAGTATTTGCATATAACCTACACACATCCTCCTATATACTTTAAATCATCTCTAGATTACTTAATAACACTTAATACGATGTAAATGCTATGTAAATAGTTGGTATACCATGTTGTTTTTTATTTGTATCATTTTTTATCATTGTATTGTTTTTTCTGACAATTTTGTTCCACAGTTGTTTGAATCGGTGGATGCAGAACCCATGAATATGGAGAGTCAATTGCATTTCATTATGCCCAAAGGTAAATGCATAACTTTTTCCGCACAGCTAATCTTCTAGCAACCCCATTGCTGTCCATGGCAAGCAGGCTTAGTCAATCTCGCCCTTTCCCATTTCAGGTTCATTAAAAAACTCTTGTCAAAATCTCTTTCATCCCACCTTATTCTTCATTCTCACTTCCATCAGCATATCAGTCCAGGCCCTAGTAACATTAATGTTACTGATGGCACTGTTAGTAACATTAGTTACCAGCATTCAAGTGGGTCTTCCTGATGTCATTCTCTCCCATCCTGAAATCACTGCTCTTTATATAGAACTTGTATGATGTCATTCATTGGCTTAAAAACTTTTAAAGCCTTCATTTTTCTACCACCCCAATCTAAATTTCTATGCCTGGCTTTTATTAAAACCCATAATTTGGCCCCACCCTAGCTATTTAACTTTATTTTCCACTATTCGCCAGTCTCCACCCTCATCAACGAGAAGACATACCATAATCCACCTCACCACTAACCCTTGGAATATCTAAACTTAAAAATGGTCCTTCCTTTCCCCTTTACTTGTATTTAAAGAACCTGACGAATTATTCCTCCTCTGCTAAACTTTTCACAATTTCTTCAACCTCATTTATGTTTCACATTTTCAGAACATATCTTGCCGTTTATTAGGAATCTCACAATTATTCACTCTCATGTAGATAGATTTACAATCATGTATGTTGTCATCTTCTATTAAATTCCATACTCCTTGAAGGCAGGAGCCATGCCTTATTCTGTACTCAGAATGATGCAGAGCACACAGAAAGTACTCAAACCTTGTTGACTGATCCAGTGAGAAATGACCAACTTCAGTTCCAGCCTCTCTTTAACATGTACATAGCAATTTGGGCAAGTCAAGCTCCATCCTGAAGGACATAATAGGGGACTCTTTTAAGCACATTATTATGAAGGCCCTTCAGGGATAACACCAGAGTGATGAGGTGCCCTATTCCAGGGATAATGGACACAGAGTTCTTGGGATTCATCACTGGGGTCCTCAAAGCATCTTCCAAGGGCATAATAAGGAAGGACTCAAACACCTTTGAATCTCCGTGAGACCAGGCATGATGTCTTTTGAAAGAGTTCTTTCACTGGAGTGAATGTCAAAGAGAAGTATAATAAAATAAAAGAACTGAGTAGGGTACCCCTTGTTCATAAAATGACACTACCTAAATCACCCAATCTCACTGAGTCTTGGTTTAACTCAAGAGGTTCCATGCCACTATAAGAGGTGGTAACTGCCAACTGATAGGAAATATTTTCATATGCATAGTCATAGTGCCCCATATTTATGAACTTCTTAAGAGTCTTCAAAAAGCTTTCTATATACATTATCTTTTACTTTCTAACTTCTCTAAATACAAGGTGAGAGAGACGCAAGTGTTCTATCAAAACAGAATCTTGGCCGGGCACAGTGACTCACGCCTGTAATCCCAGCACTTTGGGAGGCAGAAGCGGGTGGCTCACTTGAGGTCAGGAGTTCGAGACCAACATGGCCAACATGGCAAAACTCCATCTCTACTAAAAATACAAAAAATTAGCCAGGTATGGTGGCAGGTGCCTGTAATTCCAGCTACTCGGGAGGCTGAGGTAGGAGAATTCCTTGAACCCAGGAGGCAGAGGTTGCAGTGAGCAGAGATTACGCCACTGCACTCCAGTCTGGGCAACAAGAGCAAAACTTCATCTCAAAATAAAAAAAAAAAAACCATAAAGACTTTTGCAAGGACCATGTCCCACCCAGAATGGTGCCTGCCTTTCTACAGTTTTTCAGGAAGAGGAAACATTTTCTGCTTCTCTTGCTGAGGTTTTTTTTTTTAACCACCCATTAGGAATGTATAGATTTCAGTATCGAACACTGGGATTCCCTCAGCACTAAAGGAGGAAAATTGCAAACAGAGCTGAAAGTGCAATGTGGAAAGGTCAGGCTGAGGAAGGTTCTTAGCCAGTAGACCAAGGGCAGAAAGGACACTGCCTCCTCAGTCTCCCACTGGGGAACTTGTGATTCTTGTCCCCTGACCTCAGAATTCCTTGTCATGTTTGTTTTGTCTCCAAGGGAAGGGTTTGAATTACAAAATTTAAGGCTAGAGTGGGCCTCCTGCAGTTAACATTAACCCTCTCTCTCCTTCACTGGCCTAGGTGAAGTCCAGGACCATGTAGTTCTGACGTCCACTCTCTCGGGAGATCACCAGTTCACCCATCTCACCCGGTAAGCTGAGCCCTAGTTTGGCGACAGGCATCTTCCACCCACCTGGGAGGCAGGGTTCAACACTCTGCCTCTGACCTTTTTTCCTTCCTCTGCCACCTGCTTAGGCAGCCAGAAGGGGTTGTCTAGCCAGCACCTGGGCTTTGGCGCTCCTCAAGCAGGTGGAGGAAATTTCAGGCACCTGGCTCCTCAGGTGTCTGCCATCCAGCTACTCTTCAGGCCTGCCCAGCAGAGCTCTCTTGATCCAGCTAGAACTGGCCAGAACTGACTCACTCAGGAATGTGTAGACTTTGGCATCATGGGCTGCTTTAATTTGCACAATTTCCAAATACCTTTTTCTTCTTTTTCTGATGAGTCATCTCCCTAGACTTGCATTTTAAAGAGATAGATAGTTATCAGGTTCCAGAGAAGACATGGTAGAACATTTATATCTCAAAGACACAGAGCTGAGACTTCAGGTTTAGATACTATAATTTGCCTAAACCAAAAAGGAATGTGTAGGTAAAGTTCTAGTCAAGACAGGATGGCCAGGAAAAACACCTTAAACCAAGGGATGGCTTGCTTTGCTGATTTAAGCCAATGGCTTCTTTATCATAAGACTTCCCAGTGATTTAGTCCTCCCTCTCTTCCAGTGCACAGAGACATACCCCTCCTTACAAATAAAAATATTCTTTATAGATGTAAACTTATTTTACAAAAATGTTTCAAAATAACCAGATGAAAATCATCCTTATGCCAGAAAGACTTGTTTTTTTTTTCATTACTAGAAATGAAACAGTAAGTATTTGTTGTATTGACATACTTAGGCTTAGACCTATGTTTAACAAGAAAGCCTAATAATAGCACTGTGGTTAGACTGTAGCCTCTTTTTCCAAACCATCATTTTATTATTATGGAAAGAAAGGATCAAATACCTTTCATTCATCTCATATGATCCTTTAAAATACATTCCACTAATAAGTCCCATTTGGAACAGCTGAAAATCTTTTAATAAGACTTTTTAAAGATGAGCTCATGGCTTAGTGTAAATTTCATAAGCTTAATTAGGTCAAATGGAAGGAACTCAGATGAGTAGTTGCCCAATCAGAGCCCATTATTTGTAAGTCATCAGCCTCCTTCATGACCTTAAAACTCCACTCTGACCTAATTATTGCAAACTTATATACAACAAAGTGAAAGGATTAATTTTCATTCATCAACCTCTCAATCCCAGATTTTCAAAGAAAAAACCTATGTAAGGAATACTTACCAAAACCAGACAGGAAAATTAGAGCCTGCATACTTAAGAGTCAAATTTGTTCCACTACAGCCAGGTCACATACAATTACATCATTTGGTTCTTCATACACTCTGGAACTGACCAGGACAGAGTTTAGCATAGAAAAACTGTAAGAAATAGGTTCCAAAACATAGAAATTGCAAAGTCCAAAAGGCTATGAAAAAAACTAATGTAAATGAGAGACTCCCCTCCCTTTGTTTTAAAGAAATAGACCCATCAGAGAAATGCAAATCAAAACCACAATGAGATACCATCTCACACCAGTTAGAATGGTGATCATTAAAAAGTCAGGAAACAACAGGTGCTGGAGAGGATGTGGAGAAATAGGAACACTTTCACACTGTTGGTGGGGCTGTAAACTAGTTCAACCATTGTGGAAGTCGGTGTGGCCATTCCTCAGGGATCTAGAACTAGAAATACCATTTGACCCAGCCATCCCAGTACTGGGTATATACCCAAAGGATTATAAATCATGTTGCTATAAAGACACATGCACACGTATGTTTATTGCGGCACTATTCACAATAGCAAAGACTTGGAACCAACCCAAATGTCCAACAATGATAGACTGGATTAAGAAAATGTGGCACATATACACCATGGAATACTATGCATCCATAAAAAATGATGAGTTCATGTCCTTTGTATGGACATGGATGAAGCTGGAAACAATCATTCTCAGCAAACTATCGCAAGGACAAAAAACCAAACACCGCATGTTCTCACTCATAGGTGGGAATTGAACAATGAGAACACTTGGACACAGGAAGGGGAACATCACACACCAGGGCCTGTTGTGGGGTGGGGGGAGGGGGGAGGGATAGCATTAGGAGATATGCCTAATATAAATGATGAGTTAATGGGTGCAGCCCACCAACATGGCACATGTATACATATGCAACAAACCTGCACATTGTGCATGTGTACCCTAGAATTTAAAGTATAATAAAAAAATTAAAAAAGAAAAAAAGAAATAGATGTTCTGTAAAAATATACACAATTTTTACAGACAAATACATTTATAAGTTGTTTTTATCTTAAAAATTGGGGATATTTCATATTTATAACTAATTATTGAGCCTTAAGTTTTCTTGGCCATTTCTAGGCTAATAAACTAAGAATCATGTAAACTAAGCCAAAGTAGAATAGACATAAAAGTCCTGAACACTTCAACTTCCTATCCTTCAAGAAGTATACCTCGCAAAGCTCATTTGAGAGAGGAAAAGCTTTCCTCCACCCTCTGTTTTACAGCGCTGAGGCTTCTCATCACATTTCTATGACTTGTAGCTTAAATCCATGTTACATGGTCACCGGTATTGTTAGTGCTTCTCTTTTAACACTGTAGGAATTAATCAATTTGGTGGCTTATTTAATTAATTCTATCACTAGAGGATTGTAAAATTACATATATGAATACCTCACTTTAAAGGCCACTTAATTTTTTTCCAAGGGGATATTTGACTATATTTCACTTGTATCTTATTTAATGATTTTATAATTTAAACCCTAAATTATAAATCTAGAATTTAGAGAGTATATTTCCTCACTGGATTACATTTTTGGAAATATTATTTTATATGTGCACAAATATTACAAAATCACTGTAGACACCTGAAAACTATATTATCTTTTAAAGGCAATATTCTACATTAAACTGGTATAACAAAATTGTTTGGTGCATTTTTTCCAGTACATTTTGTATATATTACATGTTTAACCTTTTTTTATCCAGCAAATAATTTTTGAGTACTAAGTGCTAGGTTCTGCATTACTAATTGAATTTAAAGAGTGAAATAACAGACATGGTCTCAGACAATAAAAATTAACATTAGGTCACCTACTTATATATCTTTAAATGGTAATTATGAAAACTTTTTGAGATTTTTAACTAGATAACATTATAATAACACACTTGATATTGTTAATATTTGTCAGTGAGCAAAAAAGAAAATAAAAAGATGGTTTTATTCAATATACACTTTAAAACTGCAGGAAATAGTCAAGTTTCTCTGCTTTGCAGTTGAATGTCTATGTGTTTTTCTCTGCAACTTGGCCTTTGTGGAGTGAGAAACAATTATTCTTCCAGCCCAATGAAGGCAGAAGAGTAACAATAAATCTAATATTTTAAATGCTTATCAAAAGATAGTAAACATATTATTTCAGAATACTGATATCAATAAGTTGACCTACAAAAAAAGCCAAACTGACAGTATTACTGAATAAGGAAAGGCCCAAAGAGACAAAATACTTTTTATTTTGTAATCTCGGTATGACACAACTTACCCTAACTATAAAGACCCTAAATTACCAACATGGGTGCTTATAATATGGGGAGTTAAAAAAGTCATTTCACTTTTAGCTTTTTTATTTCTCTCAGAATAAAAAGTGTATAAGGAGTTTATAAAGAAGTTGATACTATAAGTTAGTACTACAATGACAGCACTTTTCAAGAAAAGACTTTTTTCTCTCTTACAAATATCATGTTAGCAGTATTTGTTTTCTCCAGAAATAATGAGGAAATAAAAACATAAGTATGTGGGTAATTAGTGTAGTTTCTTAAAGAAATGAGTTAGGCAACAGGCTAATAATGTATACTTCGCTGGCTTTTGAATGCCAACAATCATATTCTTTATAAGGCACAGAGATTTTTCTAAAGAATAAGTATGTGAGCCTGAAAAGTAATCACCACTTGGTAGTGACAATATGGATAGGGTGAAGGGCATCACCAAGAAGCAATGAAAAGATACATTTGCAGTTAAATTTGAAAACCATGATGTTTAATACATATAGTAATAAAGAATACTTTCTCCTGTTTCAAAATTATTTTAGAGTTTAAGATAGAAGCTAAAATACCTAGGGATAATGATATGACTATTAAAAATTAAAGGACATTTTGAGTATTAGAAGAATGAAAACTTATTACCCAATGAACAGGGATAATTCATTATGCTCCATATCCATTGAATTAAAAGACAGGCCCATTACCTGGATAATTTGAAAGTTTAATTTTATTTAAAAGTCTTGTTTCATTCATCAAGCTAAAGGATTAGCTCCCAGAAATATTCTATGGTTGCATATCTGCAACTCTGTAGGAAGTATAGAAAGAATGTTATAAGGGCCACCATCTAAACATTATTATGTAAATAATTTAGTACCATTCCATTTGCCTTTGTAGATTTAAAAATGTAAATGGCTTTCTCATATTAGGAAACAGCACTTTTCAAAACCCAGATAAACATAGTATATTGCAAGAGAATAATTATTTTCTTTATTAAAAAAATACTGGATGCTAAGTCCAAAAGACATAAATTATTTTATACTAATAACTACTAATATTTTATTCATTAAAATATAAAGGTCAAAGATTTCAAAAGATCTTTAAATGATTAATAACATGTTGATCTTTTTCTTCTTTCTGTAAACCTTTTTGAGTCTTAACAATACTAAACTATACAAGCAATATTAAATAGTATATAAACGGATTAAAATATTCAAATTTACTAGAATGTGGACATTGGAAAGAATGAAAATAAACAGAAGCATGAAGCAGCAGATATAAAATTAAGAAAGTAACTAAGAGTGTTTAAAGTACATATTCATCTGTGGTCTAATGTCTACCATAAACAATGACTCTTCTCAGTAAAACACAAATTGTTCATGAAGGGAAAAAGCATGTTGTATTAGAGAATATTCAACATAATTTTTTTAGTACTAACTTGTGCCTGGAGAATTATTTGTTTTTCTATTATGAACTTATGCACTTGATAATTTTTTTCATCAAAATTGCATGTACAATTCCATTCAGAAGCAGTTTTTGGTGGGTTTTTTTTTGAGACAGAGTTTTGCTCTTTTCACCCAGGCTGGAGTGCAATGGTGTGAATTTGCCTCACAGCAACCTAGCAACTTTTGCCTCCCAGGTTCAGGTGATTCTCTTGCCTCAGCCTCTCGAGTGGTTAGGACTATAAGCATGCACCACCATGCCTGGCTAATTTTGTGTTTTTAGTAGAGACATGGTTTTGCCATGTTGACCAGGCTGGTCTTGAACTCCTGACCTGAGGTAATCCGCCCACCTTGGCCTTCCAAAGTGCTGGGTATGGGCAAGAGCCACCATACCTGGCCTCAAAAGCAGTTTTTAAAAGCAAACACAATATAACACCAAAGTTGAAAAATCTATGCTCACCCAAGGATGCCAGGTTTAATAAATTATTGATAGAATACTACATCAAAAATAAGACAATAACCAAAAATATACCATTAAAGATGTATCCACTCCTACAACTAGAGATAATTAATCTATCGGGTAGCAAATGATACTTCAATCAGTTTCAGCATGTCTGAAATCTTTAAGGACAAAAGTGATAAAACATGACTTCATTCTTCATTAGACTCTTAGAACACTTGAAGGAAAATAATTTCTGAAGCACGAAGAGGTGAAGAGGTGTAATCTTTCAAAAAGATATTCAGTGTTCAAAATCCAAGAGTGCAATATCAGGCTGGGTGCGGTGGCTTATGCCTGTAATCCCAGCACTTTGGGAGGCCATGGTGGGTGGATCACCTGAGGTCAGGAGTTCGAGTCCAGCCTGGACAACAGGGTGAAACTCTGACTGTACTAAAAATACAAAAATTAGCCAGGCATGGTGGTGTGCACCTGTAGTCCTAGCTACTTGGGGGGCTGAGACAGGAGAATCGCTTGAACCTGGGAGGTGGAGGTTGCAGTGAACCAAGATCATGCCACCTCATTCCAGCATCAGTAACAGAATGAGATTCCATCTCAAAAAAAGAAAAGAGTGTAATATCGGTATGCACAGACAATATACTGAATGAAACAAATAGAATAATTTGAAGAGGTATCTTGATGAACAAGGAGTCATTAGAAAGGTTGTATTCATGTCTTTGAAGGAAATTGCAATGTGAGAAATTAATACTTTGACTACTATACTAAAAGTTTATTGCTAACATGTATTGAGTTATTAACGTGTGTTAGTCAGAGTACCATATAATTTACAAGTGTTATCTCATTTATTGTAGGTAAAATGTAATTTTGAACTCTGGGAGTATAAATGAATTAGATAGAATAAAATTCTATTTAAATGGCCATCAGTAAATCGGTATCTAGGAACAGGGTGATACAGTGCCCAAGTTTTCTATTCTTACTAAATGTTGTGTTTCATTTTCAATGTTTTCTTGGATATTGCTCTTTTTTGGAGATTTTGATTGTTTTTATTTTAGAAAACTAATAAATTGATTCTTCTTGGTACTGACTCGAGTTTTATAGAAGAAAAAGCAATTAAATTCTGTACATTTACCTTTACCTCATCTTTTCTTTTTTAAATTTACTTTAATTGACATATAATAAATGTACATATTATGGGTTACAGAGTGATATTTTGATATATTTATGCAATGCGTAAAGATCAAGTCAGAGTCATTATCATATCCATTACCTAAATCATGTATTATTTCTTTGCAGTGAGAATATTCAAAATCTTTTATTTTAGTTATTTGAAAACACACAATAAATTCCCATTAACTACAGTCACCCAACAGTGCTGTAGAGAACTAGAACTTCTTCCTTCTCTCCAGCTGTAATTTTGTATGTATTAACCACATTTTTCTTATACTTTTCTGTCTCCTACTCTTTCCAGGATATGGTAACCAAAACTCTACTATCTATTTCTACGAGATTAAAAATTTTAGCTTCCATACATAAGTGAGAACACGTAGTTATGTGGTGTTTATGTTTCTATGCCAGGCTTATTTCACCTAACATAATGCCCTCCACTTGCATTCTTGTTGCCACAAATAACAGGATTTTGTTCTTTATTATGACTAAATAATATTCCATTATATATGTATGTCACATTTCTTTATCCATTCATCTGTTGATGGACACTTTTGTTGATTCCATATCTTGGCTATTGTGCATAGTGCTGTAATAAACATGGGGGTGCAGGTAACTCTTTGATATACTGATTTTCTTTCCTTTGGATATATACTGAAAACCATATGGTTAAATTAATAAACACAATAAAAGCGTTTGGCAAAATTAAATATTCTTACATGACAAAAAACCTCTCATCAATTTAGTATAGAAAATATATGCCTTAACACAAAGGACATAAAGGACAAATCTACAGCTAAGATCATACTGAGTGTGGAAAAGGTGAAAGATTTTACTGTGAACAAGAAAAAGATTATACTGGAACAAGAAAAGGATGCCTATTTTCACCAATCATATTTCACATAGTGAAAGTCTTAGCCAGGACGATTAGGTGAGAGAAAGAAATAAAGGACATCTGAATTGGAAAGGAGACAGTTAAATTGTCCCTGTTTAAAGACAATGTGATCTTATACATGGAAAAAAATAAGACTCTACCAAAAGCTTCTTAGGGTGATACATGAAATTAATAAAGTTGCAGGATATAAATCAACATACAAAAATCAGTAGCATTTCTACATATTGATAGTAAACTAGCTGAAACAAGAAATTAAGAAAGCAATTCCTTTTACAATAGCTACAAAAATGTACTTAGAGATAAATTTAACCAAGGAAGTAAAAGATTTTGACAACAAAAATGACAAATATTAATGAAAGAAATTAAAGAAAACACAAAAAAGGAAAGACATCCACGTTTATAGATTGAAATAATATTCTTAAAATGACCCACTACCCTATGTGATTTACAAATTTAGTACAATCACTAGCTTGTATTTTTAAAAGCACCTTTGCTGCATATTCTTAAGATATTCAATGACAATGCCTGGATTTAAGTTTGAGGTATTATTATATCTATTTTATACTGGGCACAATATAATGTTATCAGAGGTAATGGTTTTGATTTGTCCTACGTCATACAGTAATATATATATTGTGATTTATAGACATGCTATCTTTTAATACTCAGGCATTTAGAAAGTTCATTTAGACAAAGTTATAAAAACTTGCCTTCCTTTCTGCCTATATCACCTAAAAATCCTAATTTAAGAGGTAATAACATTTTTTATTTGATATACAATTTATCAACACAATAAAAATCTAACAATTATGTGCAGAGTGTGAAAATCTCATCAGATTAAGGAACACAAATACATCTTTTTCATATTTTGAAAGTAAAACTGTTTTGGAAACTGTTATTTTTAGAAACAGTTAAAAACATTTTTTCATTAGTTTTTCATGTAAAATTGTGACAACCAGCATGAAATAACTGTCATCACAGAAGCATGGTATATTCGATTCCAAAATATATTCTTTGTAAGTTTTAATATATTTATGTATTATTTATACTTAATTGTAACCCATAATGTACAGATATTATTTTTCCTTCAACTCTTAAGAATATTCTTAAATAATAAAGTAAAATTAATGAATTATAATTTTTTTGGTTGGGAAAAAGACACACACGTGACAGTGCATCACTTCACCTCATCATTTCATCTCATCATTTCATCTCATCATTTCATCTCATCATTTTGTCTCATCATTTCATCTTATCCCATCTCATCTCATCATTTCATATCATCTCATCATTTCATCTCATCATTTCATCAAATCTCATCTCATCCCATTTCCATTTAATTTTCATTATTTCATTTCATCATTTCATTTCACTATTTCATTTCATCTAATTTCACTTATTTCATTATGTCATTTCATATCATCTCATTTCATTTCATCTCATATTTTTGATATCATCATTTTTCATACCATTTTTCATCTCAATTCATTTCATCTCATCATTTCATCTCCTCATCTCATCATTTCTTCCTTTCTTTTCAACATTTCATCTCATTTCTTCTCATCTCATTTCAATTTTATTTCATTATTTCATCTCATTTCATTATTTCACCTAATTTCATTATTTCATCTCATCTCATCTCATCTCATCTCAATTCATCTCATCTCATTTCATCTCATCATTTCATCTCATCATTTTTCATCTCATCATTTAATCTCATTTCATTCCATTTCATCTCATCATTTCAGCTCATCATTTCATGTCATATCTCTTCATCATTTCATTTCAACATTTCATCATTTCATCTCATCATTTCATCTCATCTTTCAATTTCATTTCAATATCATCATTTCATCATTTCATTTCATCTCATTTCATTATTTCATTACTTCCTTTCATCTCATTTCATCTCATCATTTTTCATCTTATCATTTTTTATCTCATCATCTCATCTCATCATTTAATCATTTCATCTCATTTCTTCTCATCATTTTATCTCATCATTTTATCTCATTTCATCTCATCTCATTTCAATTTCATTTCATTTCACTTCATTTCATTCCATCTCATCATTTTATCTCATCTCATTTCATCTCATCATTTCTTCTCATCTCATTTCATCATTTCATCTCATTTCATCTCATCTCACCTCATCTCACCTCATCTCATCATTTCATCTCGTCCTTTCATTTCATCTCATCGTTTCATCTCCTCATTTCATCTCATCTCACCTCAGCATTTCATCATTTCATCTCATCATTTATTTCATCTCATTTTATCTCATCATTTCATCTCATATCTCAATTCAATTTCCTTTCATTATTTCATTTCATCTCATTCATTTCATCTCATTTCATTACATCTCATCATTTCCTCTCATCATTACATCTCATCTCATCTCATCATTTCATCATTTCATCTCATCATTGCATTTCATCATTTCATCTCATCATTCATCTCGTCATTTCATCTCATCATTTCCGTTTCATTTCCATTTCATTATTTCATTTCATCATTTAATTTCATCATCTCATTTAATTTCACCTCATTTCATTATTTCGTTTCATTTTTTCATTTCATTATGTCATTTCATTTTTTCATTTCATTATGTCATTTCATTTCATCTCATTACATTTCGTCTAATTTCATTTCACCTCATTTCATCTCATCATTTCATTTCATCTCATCATTTCATCTCTTTTCATCTCATTTCATCTCATCTCATCAACTCTTTTCATCTTATCTCATCATTTCATCATTTCATCTCATCATTTCACCTCATCTCGTATCTTCTCATCTCATTTCAATTTCATTTCATTATTTCATTTCATTATTTCACCTCATCTCATCTCATCTCATCATTTCATCTCATCACATCTCATCATTTCATCATTTTATTTCATCATCTCATCTTATCATTTCATCTCATCTCATTTCAATTTTATTTCAATTTCATTTCATTATTTCATTTCATTTCATCTCATCAGTTCATCTCATCATTTCATCTCATCATCTCATCTCATCTCATCATTTCATCATTCATCTCATTTCATCTCATCATTCATCTCATCATTTCATATCACCATTTTATCTCACCTCATCATTTCATCTCATTTCATCTCATCTCTTTCCATCATTACATCTCATTTCATCTCATTTTATGTCATCATTTCATGTCATCATTTCATCACATCTCATCTCATCATTTCATCTCATCATTTCATCATTTCATCTCATTTCAACTCATTGCATCTCATCTCATCATTTCCGTTTCATTATTCCATTTCATCATTTCATTCATTATGTCATTTCATCTCATCATATTTCATCTCATTTCATTTCATCTCATAATTTCATCTCATTTTATCTCATCTCATCATTTCATCTCATCATTTCTTCTCATCTCATCATTTCCATTTCATTATTTCATCATTTCATTATTTCATTTCATCTCATTTCATTATTTCATTTCATTATGTCATTTCATTTCATCTCATTACATTTCATCTCATTTCATCTCATCATTTCATACATCATTTCATTTCATCATTTCATCTCATGATTTCATCTCATCTCATCTCATTATCTCATTTCATCCCATTATTTCATCTCATTTCATCATTTCATTTCATCATTACATCTCATCATTTCAACTCATCTCATTTCAATTTCATTTCAATTTCATCATTACATTTCATAATTTCCTTTCATTATTTCATTTCATTTAATCTCATTTTTTGTCTCATCATTTTTCATCTCATTTCATCTCATCATTTCATCTCATCATTCATCTCATTTCATCTCATCATTTTATCTCATTTCATCTCATCTCATCTCATTTCAATTTCATTATTTCATATCATTTCATTATTTCATTTCATTTCATCTCATCATTTCATGGCTCGTTTTATCTCATCATTTCATCCATCATCTCATCATTTCATCTCATTTTAACTCATCTCATCTCCTTTCAATTTCTTTTCAATTTTGTCATTTCGTCTCATAATTTCATCTCATCATTTCTACTCACCATTTCATCTCAAAATTTCATCTCATCATCTCATCTCATCTCATCATTTTGTCATTTCATCTCATCTCAAGTCATCTTATCATTTCATCTAAGTGAAATGATGTGATGGAATCATGAAATGAAATGGATAGGATGCCCTCAGTGATGTTAAATTTAAAAATCGTTTCTTTTCATGTATGCATTTTTATATGTATTTATATTTATATTTACTTATATTTATTTTTACTTATTTTTATTTATATTTTTACTTATTTCTTTATTTATAGACAAGGTCCTGTTCTGTGGCCTAGGCTGGAATGCAGTGGTGCATTCACAGTTCACTGCAACCTCGAGCAAACCTCCCACCTTAGCCTCCCAGGTAGCTGGGACCCCAGGTGCGCACCACCACACCTGGTTAATATTTTATTATTTGTAGAGATGGAGTCTTGCTATTCTGCCCAGGCTGGTCTCAAACTCCTGGGCTCAAGCAATCCTCCTGCATTGGCAACCCAAAATGCTGGGATGACAGATATAAGCCACAGTGCCCAACCTATTTATTTATTTATTTATTTAATAAAGACAAGGTCTCACTATGTTGCCCAGGCTGGTCAACTCCTGGACTCAAATGATTCTCCAAACTTGGCCTCTCAAAATGTTGGGATTACAGGTATGAGCCACCATGCCTGGCCTAAAAATAGTATTATATTTTTGTATCATATAATTTTCAATTAGGTAATATGAATATTCTGGACAGGAAATACGCCCTTAATTACATAGGAATAAACATTTGTTACACTGAGAAAAATCTAATAGAGCTAAAAATAAAAATTAATTTGGAAAGGTCATTAGATACTGATACATTCTTACGTTTACACATTCTTTCATATATTCATATATTCTTTTAACAGTATCAATGGTTTGGAGTTATGTGTACAAAACCATGACCTATATGTAATACAACTAATAACAGGCACTAACAATTCAAGGCATATTATATACAAAGCTTTAACTTCTTATCAAAATATTTTGTTTTTTTGTTTCTGTTTTGGCAGATGCTATGAACACAACATTCAACTCACAGACACCATGGAGCCCTTACTAAGCATAAAGTACTGTGAAAGGCCAGGGCTAGGACAGAACTGAGACAGGGCCAGGTATAGGACAGAACTGGGGCAGGGTCATGGCCAGAGAAAAACCAGGGGCAGGGTCACAGCCAGGGACATGAGAGGACTAAGGCCAGGGCCAGAAGCAGGGCAGAACCAGGGCCAGGACAGGGACATGGCAGGGCCAGGGCCATGGCAGGATCAGGGTCAGCAGAAGGTCAGGGCAGGACTAGGGTAGCACAGGGCCAAGGCAGGGCAGGGTCAGTGTAGAGCAAGGAACAGGCCAGGGTATGGCAGGGCAGGGACAGGGAGATCCAGGGCCAGAGTCAGGTCCAGAACATGGACAGGGCAGGGCCAGAAACATGGCAGGACCAGAAAGAGGACAGGGCAAGGGCAAGGCCAGAGAAGGACCGTGGAAAAAACATGGCCAGGGAGAGTCCAGGGCAAGGGCAAGGCCAGGGCAGAACCAGAGCCACAGCAGGCCAAAGGCAGGGCCAGGGCAGGGCAAGGCCAGGGTAGGGCGGGGCCAGTGTAGGGTGAGGGTAGGGCCAGGGCGAGTTCAGGGCCAGGGCAGGACTAAGATAGCACAGGGCCAAGGCAGGGACAGGGCAGGGCCAAAAGGAGGGGCCAGGGCCAAGCATGGCCAGTGTCAGACCTGGGGATTGTCAGGGCCAGGGTCAGGGTCAAGGCTGGGCCAGGGACAGGGCCAGAGCAAGGCCAGGGTCAGGGCAGAACCAGGACCAGGATAAGGCAAAGCCAAGGCCAGGGCAGGGCAAGGCCAGGGCAGGGCAAGGCCAGGGTAGAAAAGGCCAGTGTATGGCCAGGCCAGGGTAGGAGAAGGCCATGGTAGGGCCAAGGCCAAGGCAGGGCAGGGCTAGGGTAGCACAGGGCATGGCCAAAAACAGAGCAGGGCCATAGCAGTGGCAGGACTAGCAACAGGGCTAGGGCAAGCACTGGACCAGAGCATGGTGGGGACAATACAGGACAAGGACAGAGGATGGCAAGGCAGGTCCAGGGCCATTTCATGGACTCGGTAGGCCTGGGGTCAGGCCAGGGCAGGGCAAAGGCAAGGCCAGGGAGAAGGCAGGGCCAGGGCCAAGGCAGTGCCAGGGCAGGGCAGGACCAGTGCAGGGCCAATGCAGGGTGAGGGCAAGGCCAGGGCATGGAAGGGCAGGGCAGGACCAAGGAAGGGCCAGGAGAGGGCCATGGCAGGGTCATGGCCAGAACAAGGGTATGGCTGGGGTCAGGAATATGGTAGGATGAGGGCTGGGCCCAGGCTGGGGCACGCAGGGCAGAGCATGGCCTGTGCAAGGCATGGCCAGAGCCAGGCCATAGAGATGGGAGGGCAACACCAAGGCAGAGTCAGGGTAGATCCAGGGCTGAGCAGAGTCAGGGCAGGTCCAGAGTCGAGGCAGAGCTAGGGCCCAAGCAGGGCCATGGTAGCACCAGGGCAGAGGAGGGCAGGGCAATGCAGGACTGGGCCATGGCAGTGCCTGGTCAACTCCGGGGCAGGGCAAGAAGCAGGACAGGGACAGGGCCAATGCTCAGGCCAGGGACAGGGCATGACAGGACGTGCCAGAGCAGGGCTGGGCCAACGTTGGGGCAGGGCAAATCAGACCAGGACACCTCCAATTCCAGCTCTGGCCCTGCCTTGGCCCTGGCCCCTTCCTGGCCTGACCTTGTCCCTGGCCCTGCCCTATCCATGCCCTGTGTGTTTGACCAGTGTTTTATAACCAGAATCCTACAAGAAACTTAAATTAGTTCTTTTTGTGCATTTTTAGTAGAGATGGGGTTTCACAATGTTGCCCAGGCTGGTTCCAAACTCCTGAGCTCAAGCCATCTGCCTGCCTTGGCCTCCCAAAGTGCTGGGATTACAGGAGTAATCTGGCCAAGTATTTAACTTCTTTATGCCTGTTTCCTACATTTGGAAAATGGAGATGCTTTAAGTACCTAGCACATAGAATTATTGTGAGAATCAATGCCTCACATATTTACATGTTGATAAAATTATACTCATAGAACACTACTGGAAGCAAAGATAGTATTAGTTAAAATTTAGTGATTACTACAAATATTATTACTATTACAAACAACATAGTATAGACATTACTACTACTATAGTTATCTTAAAAATCTAAAATAAAAATTTTACATAATAACCTAAAGTAATCTCTCCTGCTCTGCCCTGGCTCAGCCCTAGTGCTGGCTCTGCCCCTAGTCCTACTACATCCCTGGCCCTGACCCTTCTGTGGTCCAGCCGCTGCCCTGGCCCTTCCCATCTTCAGGCCTTACCATGGCCCTACCCTGGTCCTGACCCTGCCCTGGTCTGGTTCTGACCCTGCCCTGGTCTGGTCCTGACCCTGGCCCTACCCCAGAGAAGGGGTATGGAAGAGCCAGGGAAGGGCCGGGGCAAATAAGGGACAGGACACATCCAAATCCAGGAAAGGGCCAGGGCCATGACAGAGCCAGGGCGAGTCCTTGGCAGGGCCAGGTTCCAGGCCAGGGCCAGGAAAGGGTCATGGCAGGGTCACTGTATGGCCAAGGTCCAGGCCAAAGCCAAGGCGGTGGCAGGGTCAGGTCTGCATAAGGGCAGGACCAGAGCCAGTGATACAGCAGGGCCAGGGCCAGGGCCAGGGCTGTGCCAGGACAGAACAAGAGCAGAGCAGGGCAGGACCACAGCCAGGCCATAGAGAGAGTAGGGCAAATGCCAAGGCAAGGCCAGGGTAGTGCCAGGGCTGAGGCAAGGTCAGGGAAGGTCCAGGGCTGAGTCAAGGTTAGAACCAAGACAGGGGCAAAGGCTGGGGCAGATCTAGGGCACAAGCGGGGCAGATCTAGGGCACAAGCATGGCAGGCTAGGGCAGGGCAATGGCAAGACCAGGTCATGGCAGGGCCAGCCCAGGATAGAACAGGGCACAGGCAGGGCAGGGCCAGGGCCATGGCTGGGGCAGGACAAGGACCAGGACTGGAGTCCAGGCCAGGGCAAGGGTATGGCCAGGGCAGAGGCAGGGCCAGAGCCAGGGTGTGGGCAGGACCAAGGCAGGTCTATTGCAAGGCCAGGGTTCAGACCAGGGCCAGAGCAGGGCTGGGACAGGGCCAGGGCCAGAACCAGGAAAGGGCAATGTCAGGACAAGGGCCATGGCAGGACCAGCAACGGGGCTAGGGCCAGGACAGGGTCAGGACCAGGGCTGGGCCAGAGTATGGCCTTAAGTAGTGAAGGGCCAGGGCCAGGGTCCATGCCAGTGCCAGTGCCGGTCCACGGCAGAGGCAGGGCCATGGCCAGGTCAAGGACAAGGCTGGGGCAGGGCCAAGGTCTGGGTCAGGGTCAGCACAAGACCAGGACAGAGCCAGGGGAGGGACAGGGCCATGGTAAGACCAGGTTAAATCATGGACAAGACACCTGCAAATCCACTTCAGGGCCAGGTCAGGGCAGGGCCAGTTCAGGGCCAGGGTCAAGACAGGGCCAGGGTAAGGGCTGCCAGGGTCATTGGCAGGGCCAGGGCCATGGCAGGACCAGGGTCAGGAGCAGGGGTCAATGCCAGGCCAAGGCCACAGATAGGACCAGGTCTGTGCTAGGGCCAGTGTGAGGGCCAAGGCGGGGTCAGAGCAGGCCCAAAGGGAGGGCAGGGCCAGGGCAGGGTGGAGCAGGCCCAGGGTAGCACAGGGTTAAGGTAGGGCACGACCAACCAGGGCAGGTCTATGGCTGGGGCCGGGGCAGGGCCAGGGCTGGGGCAGGGCCAGAGCCAGGGCAGGGCCAAGACAGTGGCAGCTCCAGGGCAGGGCCAGGGTTAGGACCACAGACATGTCCAAGGCCAGTGCCATGGCAAGGGCAAGGGCAGGGGCAGGGCCAGGGTCATCTAAGAACCAGGGACAAAGCCAGGCCCAGAGCTGGGCCAGGACAGGTACCTGGCAGGGCTAGGGTCTGGGACAAGGCCACGGCAGGGCCAGGGCTACAACCAGGTCTTTGCTATAGCCAGGTCAAACACAGTGCCCAGGTAAGGCTAGGGTGAAGGCCAAGGTAGGGCCAGGGCAGGGTCAAAGCCAGGCTAGGGCCAAGGCAGGGCCAGGAAAGCATAGGGCCAGGGCAGGGCAGGGCCAGGCCAGTGCCAAGACCTGGGCAGGGCCAGGGCCAGGGCCACGGCCACGGCCTGGGAAGGACCAGGTTCGGGGCAGGAGCAAAACAAGGGCAAGGACAGTGCAGGTTCTTGGCACAGCCAGGGTCCAGGACAGTGTCAGGGCAGGGCCAAGGCAGGGTCTGGGCCATGGTAAGACCAGCAACAGGGCTGGGGCTAGGTCAGTGACAGGACCAGAGTCAGGGCAAGGGCCAGAGCAGTGCAAGGCCAGGGTAGGGCCAGGCATTTCAGGGTCAGGGCCAGGGGAGAACCAGGGCAAGGTCTCAAGCAGGGAAGGGCCAGGGCCAGGACAGGTCCAGGGCAGGGCCATGACAGGACCAGGGGCTGCGTTAGGGCAAGGGCAGGGCCACAGCAAGGTAAGGGTCAGGGCCAAGGCTAGGGTAGGGACAGGGCAAGAAATATGGCAGGACCAGGGACAATGCCAAGGCCAAGGCTGAGTCAGGGCTGAGTCAGGGCAGGGCAGGGCAGGGCATGGTATGGCCAGGGCAGGAAAGGACAAGAGCCAGTCCACAGAGAGAGCAGGGCTGATGCCAAGAAAGAGCCAGGCTAGTGCCAAGGCTGAGGCAGTGTCAGAGCATGTCCAGGGCAAGGCCGGGGCCAGGGCCAGAACCGAGCCAGGGCACAGCCAAGGCAGGGTAGGGCAGGGAAATAGCATGGCCGGGTCAGTACTGGGGCAGGGCAGAGCAGGGCAAGGCGATGGTAGGGGCAGGGCTGAGACAGGCCAAAGAAGAGCCATGTTACACCAGGGCCAGGACACCTCCAAGTCCACTTCAGGGCCAAGGCTATGGCAGGACAAAGACCAGGGCCAGGGTCAGAGCCAGGTCTGTGCTGGGCCAGGGTCAGAGCCAGGTCTGTGCTGGGCCTAGCGAAGACTAGGGTGAGGGCCAAGGTAAGGCCAGGGCAGGGTCAAAGGCAGAGTAGGGGCAGGGCAGGGTGATGACACATCCAGAGCACAGCAGGGCAGGGTGATGGCAAGACCAGGGGCAGACCACTGCCAGCTCAGGGCCAGGGAAAGGCCAGTGCAGAGCCAGGAATGGGTCTGGGTCTGGGTCAGGGCCAGGAACAAGGCAGAGCAGGGCCAGGGCCATGGCAGAGTCAGGGCAGGTCCTTGACAGGACCAGGTTCCAGGCCAGGGCCAGGGCAGCAGCAGGGGCAAGGCCTGGATAAGGGCAGGGCCAGGGATATGGCAGGACCAGGGCTAGGGCCAGGGCCAGCCCATAGTGAGGGCAGGGCAAAAGCCAAGGCAGGGTCAGGGCAGGTCCAGGGAGCGGCCAGCACCAAGCGGGGCCAAGGCACAACCAGCGCAGCGTAAGGCAGGGCAATGGCACCACTGGGCCATGACAGGGCAAGGTCAGTGCCAGGAGAGGGCAGAACAGGCAGGCCCATGGTGGGGCCAGGGCAGGGATGGGCCAAAGCAGGGCCAGGACATTTCCAAGGCCAGGTCAGGGCCAGAACAGGGGCAGGACCATGACCATTGGCAGGGCCAGTGCCATGACAGGACCAGGGTCAGGACAAGGGGCAGGGCCAGAGCGAGGGCCAGAGCCAAGGTCAGGCCAGTGCAGGTTCAGGGCAGGGCCAGTGCCAGGGCAAGACCAGGGCAGGGACAGGGTAGCACAGGGCCAAGACACGGTCAGGATGGGACCAGAGCAGGACAGGGCCGAGACAGTCCAGGTAACAGTAGGGCAGGTACAGGGCAAGGCAGGGCAGTACAGGGCCAGATCCACGGCAGGCGCAGGGCAAAGCCAGGCCCATTGCCAATGCACCAGCCCTCCCTACAAGGCTTCTACCACCTGGCCACTGCTGCAGCCCGTCCATCGCTGTAAGCCTGACTCCCAACCCTGCCTGCAGCCGCCTGCCCTCCTAGCACGGCCGCTCTCCTACCGCTCTGGCGCACTGCAGCCTCCGTCACTGCCATCCACCTGCAGCGAGGCGAGCCGTGGTGTTGCAGGCTCTAGGTGTCTCCTCCTCTTCCTGGCACGGAGCAGCTGGGTGGGCAAAGCCAGAAAAGCCTAGAGGAAGTTGTGAGGAGTGGAAGTGTTAGAGCCTCGACTTGTCATGCCAGCCACTGGGTGGCAGGGGCCAGTTTCAGCAAAGGCACTCACACCCACCCTCCAAAGTCCAGCCTCTCCTTTTGGCCCAAGCTGTCTGGGAACTGGGGTCTGGGGTGGGTGCTGGAGACACCACAGCTTCCAGCTCCCCACTCCACAGGAACCATTGGGCCCACCAGGGCTGCACTCCTCGGGGAACAGGAGAAGCAGAAAAATTCAGACCCAACCAGCCCTCCACACCCAGGTGCCAATTCCTGTTCCGGACGCCTCCACACACAGGGCCCTGTCCCCCGTGGTGTCCCCAGGGGTGCCTGGCAGCCTCTGAGGCACAGACCCAGAGTGCACAGGCCCAGGAACCACGGTGGGTGTGGGGGCTCTGCCATGCTCAGGATTCCCATGCAAACCGCTGCGTGCCCTGCCACACTCCAGTATGACCAAGAGTGGGTCGCCATCTGGAGTGTGGAGTCAGGGAGAGGAGAACCACTCCTTCCTTGGATGCCAACTCTGTTGACCGCCGCCAGCAGTGCAGCCCCTGATAGCACCGAACTCGCCCGCCCTCCACGGCTAGTCCTGCCCTCAATAGCGCCCCCCACCTCCGTCCCCCAATGCCACCAGTAGCGTATACCCGATAGTGCCCTAACCTGTCCTCCTCCATGGGCATTGCAGCCCCAGAAAGCACCCATAACCCACCCTCCCTGCCGTGGGTAGTGCAGCCCTGTGGAGTGCTACCAACCAGTACCCCTAATGCAGGCAATGACACCCTGGATAGCGCCCCCAACCCACCCCAAACTGCGAAAGGTGCAGCCCTGGATAGCCCCTGTCCTACCACTCTGGTTGTGCTGCAGTCTCTGTTACCGCCACCACCAACCACAGTGAGGCAAGCCAGTGGGCCGCAGGCTCTAGCACCCAGCAGCCAGGCATGGAGCAGCTCTCGCTGATGGCCGGCTCCTACCACTCTAACCACGCTGCTGTCTGTCTCCGTGGCCATCTTCTTTCACTACAAAGGAATAAAACTAGGTATCAATAAGAAAAGTAATTTTGGAAACAATACAATCACATGGAAGTTAAATACTACCCTCCTGAATAAATGACTAGCGGGTCAATGAAGATACTAAGACAGAAATTCAAAAATTTCATGAAACAAAGGGTAATGAAAACACAGTATACCAAAACTTGTTACGCAGAAAGCAGTACAAAGGCAGAGATTTACAGCTATAAGTGCCTACCATCCAAACAAAAGAAAAACTTCAAATAAACAATACATCTTAAAGAACTAGTAAAGTAAGAACAAACTAAACAGAAAATAAGAAAATAACTAAGATCGTAGCAGAAACAAAATTGAAATAAAAAACACACAAGATTAAACGAAAAGTTGGTTTTCTGGAAAGCTATACAAAATTGACAAACTTTTAACCAGCCTAAGAAAAGAGACAAGATTCAAATAAATAAAATCAACAGATTAAAAAAAGGAGACATTACAACTAATACTTCAGAAATTCAAAGGATCATAACTGGCTATTATATGCCAATAAACTGGAAAGCCTAGTAGAAATTGGCAAATTCCTAGATGTATACAACCTACTTATGTTAAACAATGAAAACATCCAAGACCAGAACAGATTGGTAACAAGTAATGAGATTGAAGCCATCAGAAAAAGTCTCCCAGTAAAGAAAAGCCCAGGAACTGATGTCTTCACTGCTGATGGCTTCACAGCAAACAATTTAAAGACCTAGTACGAATCCTGCTCAAACTATTTTGAAAAACAGGAGGGAATACTTCCAAACTTATTCTATGAGACCATTATTACTGTGATACAAAAATCAGATAAAAGCATCAAAGAAGGAAACTACAGGCCAGTATCTCTAATATTGATGCAAAAATCCTCAACAAAATACCAGTGAATCAAATTCAGTAATACATTAAAAAGATAATTCATCATGATCAAGTGGGAATGTATCCCTGGGATGCAAGAGTCACTCAACATACAATGTGATACATCATATCAACCAAATAAATGACAAAAACAGTATGATCACGTCAACTGAAACCGAAAAAGCATTTGATGAAATTCAACATCCCTTCATGCTATAAATCCTCAAAGAAACAGGCACAGAAGAAACATACCGCAACATAATAAAAACTACAGGAAAGACACCCACAGCTAGAATCATGGAATGGGGAAAAATGGAAAGCTTTTCCTCTAAGATCTGGAACATGATAAGGATGCCCCCTGTCACCACTGTTGTTTAACATAGTACCTGAAATCCTAGCTAAAGCAATCAGTGCAGCCCCTGATATGGCCCCCAACCCACCCTGCCCCCTACCACCAGCAGTGTCGCCCCCCGCAATAGCACACCCAACATACCCTAACCGCCCCGCCTCCCCGCACCATGGGCATTACAGCACCCCATAGTGCCCTCAACCCGAAACCGCCACCCCCCACCCCACAGCCGCACAGTGCAGCCCCGGATAGCACACTTAGCCCACCTCACTGTTGCCAGCAATACCGTCTGGGATAGTGCCCCCAACCGGCTCCCCGCCAAAGGCAGTGCAGCCCCGGTTTGAGCCCCCAAACCACCCCCCAGGTGCAGGCAGCACAGCCCCAGATAGCACACCCAACCAGCCACCCAAGATGGGCAGTGACACCTGAGATAGGGCTCCCAACCCGTCCCAGGCCACCCGCAGTGCAGCCTGGATAGTGCACTTACCCCGATGCCTTTCTAAGCTCTGGCTGGCTGCATTGTCCATCGCTGCCACCAACCACAAACAGGGCTGCAAACAGGAAGGATTTTATTCACCGTCGATGCGGCCCCGAGTTGTCCCAAAGCGAGGCAGTGCCCCAAGGTCTGTGCAGAGCAGAACGCGGCTCCGCCCTCGCAATGCTCTCCGGGTCTGTGCCTAGGAGAACGCAGCTCCGCCCTTGCAAAGGCACACAGCGCCGGTGCCGGCGTGGCGGAGAGGCGGACAGCGGCGGCGCGGCGGAGAGGCGGACAGCGGCGGCGCGGCGGAGAGGCGGACAGCGGCGCCGCGGCGGAGAGGCGGACAGCGGCGCCGCGGCGGAGAGGCGGTCAGCGGCGGCGCGGCGGAGAGGCGGTCAGCGGCGGCGCGGCGGAGAGGCGGTCAGCGGCGGCGCGGCGGAGAGGCGGACAGCGGCGGAGAGGGGCACAGCGGCTGAGAGGCGGACAGCGGCGAGGAGGGGCACAGCGGCGGCGCAGGCGCGGAGAGGCGCAGGCCCAGGCTCCAGTCCCCAGCTGTGAAAGGGTAAGAGCTGAGGGTGGCTGAGACTCGGGGTTGTTCAGGGCGGGGTGGGCTCTGGACCCAGCAGGCCCGGCACCCAGGTCAGGGCTCCAGGGGAGGCCAGGTGGGCGAAGGCCAAGAAGGGGCCGGGGCTGGTCAGGAAGGGCTCCTGGTGACCAGAGCACTTTGCGTGAGCGAGCGTGGGAGGAAGGTGGCCTGGATGAGCCAGGGAGGTGCCGGGAGGGGCCTTGGCAGAGGCGACCACCTCCGTCAGCCCCCAGGCCACTGAACCCTGGGTAGCGAGAACCTACAGGGGAGGCTGCAGACAGAGGAGTGGAGGCTCCCCGGCTTTGGGGGCTCTGAGTAGAAGCATCTAGGGGGTCCCTCAAGACGACCCCAAACGCTTCCCCATGGTGAGAAAAGAAGGCGCAGAGAGGGGCACGGCGCCGGCTCCGGCGCAGAGGGGCGCACAGCAAGATTTGCTGTGATTTCTTTTATTGCCCCAAGTGTACTTCATGTTCAGGCAAGAGGAGTCTGAATTATAGGATGTTTAGAAGCTTCCCTGGCCTCTATCTCTAGATGCCAGTAGTACCTGTACCTCTAGTTGTGACAGCCAAAAGTGCATCTAGATGTTGCTAAATGTCCTCTGTGGGTCAAGATGCTTTGTTCAGACATTACTAAAGGTTCTCTGTACATTACAATTATCCCTGGTGGAGAATCACTGACTTGGAGCAAGAATTTCTTTTTTAAAATTGAAATAGAGAAAGCACTTACCTAGAGTTCAAAACAGAATATTGACATATAATTAGGTAGTGATTTGCAGGATAAGTTAGAGAAGGTAGAAATGGGAGGCAATGAGAATATGCAAAAATGATCATGTCAGTCTAGAAATGAATAGATGGGCTTATAAGCTAGAGCTCTGTGGCTCTGATAGTAATAGAGGCACTGATAGTAATAGAATAGCAGCAGTTGTAGTGGTACTAGAAGCAGCATTAATTGTGCAGTCATAAAAGTACTTCTCACAATTACCTTTAGAAATGTTTGCTACTATGGTTATCCCCATACTGCCGATGAGGAAGCTGAGGTTTAGTGGTCACCCATGGCAATGGTTGGGATTCCAACTCGTATCTGTCTTGCTTCCAATACTTTCTATTGCTTCATCTCTGAAACAGGTTTTGCATTCAAGTGGTTGACAGGAAAAAGCAGTCTGAATGGTCACACTCTCTGCTGTTTGTTAAATTATACTATCCTTCCCAAAATCTCACTCTCTTTATTTAGAGATGTGAACAAAAATTGTTCCCCCTAAGAACGGCACAGGCTGGTACAACTTAGAGCCCCATCTGCTCTGGTTTGTTGGATACTGCCACATTACATTAATTAGTAGAGAGAGAGCATTCACATGCATAATGTGCCCATTTTTCAAAAGCATATTTTACATGGTTCTGTCTTTTCCTTAAAAATTCATTACAAAGATAAGAGTGTGTTTATCACATAAATACAGCCAAATTATGGCATAAGGGAGTTTTAAGAAAATAGACAAAAGAAGTTATAAAATTTTAGACATTATAAAATATTTGTTACTGATATTATGCTATGTTTTTCATGCTATCTTAAAGACTTTTTATAGATATTATTCTATGCTCACAACTAGATTTTGCAATTCCAGTATGCCCATGAATGGAGGAAACCTCCAGTTAGCTTGGTAATTAATTAGCTTCTTTTGTGAAATGTCCAAGCTGCTAATTTCTGTCTTTTTATTTTAAAATAGAACACCTTTTGTTTATTTCTCTGAGACACAGATTTCTCCTACAACTCCAAGTAGGAGAAATAAAAGGAGAAAAACTCCAGAAAGAACTGTTCGGAGTTGGTTAGAAGATTGTCCAGATGATCTTTATTTTAATGTTGGAAAAATATAGATGCCTATCTTGGAATCAGCAAATAAATTATAGTCATATTAAATTTCATTCTAAATTTCTGACTTTACGGTTTATTTTATATATATAATATATTATATATAAATAAAATTTTATATATGTATATCTGTAAACATATGAAACCATGCATAGTACATAAAAACTAGGTTCAAGTAGGAACCCAGTTTACTTTGTTTCTCTGAGCTGTAGTTTCTCAATATGTGAGGTGGGAATAAAATAGGAACTTCACAGGCTGTTAAATGTGTCAGTGAGAGAATGTATATAAAATGCTTACACAATGACTAGCACAAACTATATTACATATGGTGACTCTCCTATGGTAACAGCTATTTGCCAATCTCTGCAGTTGCCTTAATGGAATTGTAACAAAACTGGACATGAAAGGCTATTGTAATTTCAGCCCAATGCCTAACATTTGTGGAAAAACATTTCAGCTTTTCTATGCATAGCACATTTTTCTCCACCAAACATCTGTGAAGGTGATTTTCATTTAACTATTTAATGGGTCAATAACCTCCCTTCTATTTTCATATTCCATCTACATCATCAAAAAAGAAATTTTAATTACCCTTTGGATAAATAATAGGAATAAAATGTCATGAATCAAAACACAGGGTTTATGTGTATTCTCTATGAAAAACAGAACTAAAATGTTGTTAATAAATTTTACACCCATTAAGGAAATGTGTGAGTCTACCTGGTAGAATTAAAGTATAGTTGAAACTATTGCTGTGGGATGAAATTATGCTCACTTTAATATTTCCGATATGTTTTCTTTGTACTAGAAAAAAACAGATATTTTAAAAATGCTGCATTTATCTTTATCTCTCTGTGCACATGAGGATTTCATACCTTATTTTCACTTGAGTTTCTTTGAACAATGAACACTTTGGAGGAGTGTATGCTATATTAGGAATTTATTAGATTTCATCAAATGGCAGGTGGTTATGAATTTTGTTTCCAAAAAGGAGACCTGAGGGATATTCCATATTAACGGTTTTATTCCCTTTTGGTGGAAACATGCAAATCATTTGTTTTTGCTAAAAAAACTATGAAATATTTCTTTCATTATTTCCCTTGGGAATGGAAGCTCGCTATTATTCATAATTGTAAATGCAGTTGACATTTTGAAGTTTATGTTCATGGGAATAAGATATTTTTTGGACATTTTAGTGATGCCAAGCCCAGGAAAATCTAGTTATTTTTTGCAATACACACGTATATACAGTATGTTAATTGGAGTAACAGAGATGGCCATTTCAAATTGGGCTCTGTTATTCATCTTTTTTTTAGAGGCAAAGAGTGTTGGTAAGCGAATTTAACCAGAAGAGCAGTAGATTCTTTTGGAATAATGACATAGTGGAAAATAAAAACACATATACACCAAGAAACAATTTGTGAACTAAAACATTATTAAATTTAATCTATTGCCATAAAGTAGAAAATGTTCGAAACAAGGAAGACTGTGTACTTTCAGCTAAACTGAAAATAAAATGACAACAAAAAAGCAGGACTCTCCACAATTCAAGACTTGCTGCTTCTATGATGCCACACTCTTGATTATTTACCCCTGCTATATGAATGAGTGAGTGTTAACACTGATGTATTACACCTAAAAGATTGGAAGAGCATCTTTGATTCCATTCCAGTCCACCACGTCGTGCTAGAACCAGCACATCTGCCCTCCATAGTAAATCTCCATAAAATTTTACTGGGGAGAAAAGAATCCTCTACATATGAGGTAGAGATGTGAATCAGACAAGTCCTTAAATGCATGATTCATCTAACTGCCTCTGAATAATTGGTTAACTTCAGCCACCTGTATATATAAGCATGTAGGTGTTCAATGCCACCACACACTCTCCACAAACAACAACTGCCCAGGGTTGCCAAAAGATAATTGCATGGTGGCAAAATGTGCTGCTTGAACAGTGCCAACGTAAAGGATAAAAAACCAGGAACCATATTGTAAGGAAGTGAAGACTGTATTATACTAGGAATTCCACTTTAGAGTCCAATCTGACCATCTGAATCTGAATTGGACTCTAGTGGATGGACTGATGCTACCCTGCAGCCTTACTTCCTTAACTTTGTTTCCCCAGGCCCTAATATAAACCCCAGGAAAACAGGCATACAGCTGTATGCATTTGGCAGATTACTATCCATTTCATTGTTCAGTTGTTCTGGAAAGGCACCGAATGCAACTGTAGCCTGGAAACATTTGGAAAAATGGTACTGTTCCTGATATCTTTGTTTCTTCCTAGGTGACAGTTGAAGGTGACTTTCCTTTGTAGAGTTCTGCCTGCTGTTAGCAATTTTCCAAAATTAAATACCATATTTTGTGTTTGATAGGCACAGCTGTGTCTGTTACCAAGGGCAAGCCCACTTGCACAACACTCTGTGTTCATTTATATACTGAGAACTTTATTTAGAACCCAGTTTTACAGAAAAAAATCAAGTTGGGTGAACCAATTTTGAGGGCAATGAATTCTTGAATTCTACTTTTGGGTTATGAAAAGGGCAAATTTATTTGCTTCTGATGGAAGTAATATAGGCCTAGTGGATATCTTAGCAGTGCAGAAAATAGGATGTACCATCTACCTATATTAACTGTGTGTGCATTAATTTCTGAATCTGGTTTTAAAAACTCCATTGTGTTCTAAACCTGATAGTTTGGAAAGTTGTAAGACCGAGTCTAGAGACTCATGTTAAAATTCTAAATTTTGGTGCAAGAGGAATAGCTCTCGTTTTTGCCCAAGCGACTTTATTTTTCAATGTCTTCATTATTTTATCTGCCGATTGAACCCATCAGAGTAGAGGAATGCCCAGAATTATTTGAAGCTCTGAAAGTTCTACAATTTGGGCTAGAGAAATGGAATATACTAATTCTACCAATTAAGACACCAACTCTTCAGGCAAAATTAATTTAATACTTGGGGTATGATGGGTTGACCCTGAATATTTACAAGATACTAACATTGGAAAATGTTAGAGTGTGTCACATGGGACAAGAGTCTGTTAAGGTGTTCTACAAGAATGGGAGGTTGTGTGGTTAAACATTTGGCATGCTTGGCACATTTTTTCCCTCTTCCTGGAGAGTTGTAGTTTGCATTCACATTTAAAGGATCTGAGAAATCCTGCAGAAAAGAAAATTATGTAGCTTTGTTTAACCCAATGTTTCCCAAACTTAGTGGACTTTATGCATTCGACATCTTTCCTTTGCTCTTCCAAATTACTCTTCAGCCTTCCCTACCCTGCTCTGTGTTCATGAAACTGACGTGTGTGAGTTCTAACTTAGAGTTTTCTTTCTACTGGCTCCTGGTTGTTTGGCTGTCAAGAGAAACTTCTGGAGGAATGACGGCAGGAAAAGGTATCTGAGGAAGAGAGAAGTAAGGTACTTGTTTCCCTGGCTTCCTCTCTCCAAGCTGACTGCATCTGCCCACCAGAGGTCACATTTCTTGTCAAGTGTTCTCTCCACACAGTTTTCCCTCCAGATTCCTGCAAACTCTTATTTCCCTCCATCCTTTCAGGCATAGTCTGTAGGTTACTGCCTTCCTTTTCAATTTTCCTATAACCTGCCCACATCTATTCAAATAGTGCTTGTTTTAGACATTCCTCAAATTACCAAATTTGAGTGTCATCTTTTTTCTGCAGGAAGTCTGAGTGATATATACACATGGTATCTTTTTTACCTTGCTGATGCATGCCATTTTTATGGAAAAACTGCTATATTTAAAGTGAGGAAAATTATTTTGGTATCAAAGTGTCTGAAACACTGTTGTTGCTTGATTTGCTAACTATAATTGTCCGAACCCTTCTCTATGTGTAGATATATCCTAAAACCAAGTCAGTAAAAACAGGTCCTTCTGAGTCCTATCTGAGTTTATTTTACCATTGTCAGCTTTCTTTTTGCTCTCAGTGGGCCCATGAGTGATAACTATCTCCACAGTTAGACATCAGTAAGCCATGCCATTTACCTGATTTGTCAACAGACATTTGTGAAGCATGTTTGTGTGTGTGTGGCATTGAACTAGATGCTGAGAATATAAAGGTAGAGAAAGATTAACATGATTCCCAGGGTATCCAAAGCAGCCTGTATGCCCACCAATACAACAATAATAAAATGTGAATACTGATAATAAATGTAATAATATCTAACACTTAACATAGCTCTGAGTACAATAAGACATTTATATAGTTTGAGTGCTTTATCTTAACTCATTCAATCTTCCCAACAACCTTATGAAAAGCTACTGTTATTATCTCTATTTGACAAATAAGAAAAAGATGACAAAGTCAGGCTAGATGAGTCTGTTCATGTTCACATGTAATTAAGTGGTGAGAGTGGATTTTTAGTCTATGTAGTCTGGTCACAGAGAAAGTATAATTAAAAAATGACAAGGAGATGTGCAATAGGAGGGCTTGGCTCAAATGAGATCCAAAGGGCAAAAAAGTAAAGAGAGAAGAGTGTTTCAGAAGGGAAGAACTTGTGCAAAGATACTCTTAAATTGTCTTGACGCTGTTTCATCAGAGCAGACGACATACAAAAAGGCCAGTCAAAATGGAGTTGTTAAGAGGTGGTCTGTACAAATACATCAGTTAAGTACACGCACTTATATTTTCTTTACTGTTCTATTCACAATAACAAAGACATGAACTCAACCTAGGTATCCATTAGTGGTGGATTGGATAAAGAAAATGTGGTACATACAGGTACCAAGGAACACTATGCAGTCATAATAAAGAATCAAATTATGTCCTTTTAAGCAACATGGATTAAGCTGAAGTCCATAATCCTAAGTGAATTAATGCAGAAACAGAAAATCAAATACCACATGTTCTCACTAATGAATAAGAGCTGGACATTGAGTTTACATGGACATGTAGATGGAAGCAATAGACACCGGGGACTAAAAGAGGGGAGAGAGAGGTGGGAAAGGGTTGAAAAACTACCTATTGGATCCTATGCTAACTACCTGGATGACAGGATCCATACCCCCAAACTCAGGATTATGCAATATACCTATGTAACAAACCTGCACATGTATCCCCCCATATCTAAAATAAACACTAAAATTTAATTAAAAAATAAATTTAAAAAACTGAAAAAATATATCAGTCATTGACTTTATTGCCTTGATAAGTAGCAATGGCAACTTCACATGTTGACTTAAAACTTTGATTGTCAACCTTTGGTGTTTGCAGGATACTTAAAAAAACTGGATTATTTAATGACACTCTTGAAGGAATTAAAGTATAAAAAAGTTATAGAATATTGAAAACATATTTCCATACTTATTGAATTAGTTGTTTTTAATTTGAGGAGAACCAAAAAACTCTTTACTGTCCTGACCATATTATCTGATACAGTCATAATGCAAATTTCTTACAATTTCTGGCATATAGGGCATCTTTCTTTAACACTAGCATGCCTTTACATGAAGCCTTATCACTTCTTTGCAGCAACTTGTTCCTCAACTCACTGAGTGTGCATTGTTCTGCCAGAGACATCACTGTAAGAGTATGTCATGTCGAATGTAGCAAAAATTGTTTTTATATGGTATCAGTTATAAAGTGCTTTTGAGGACTGTTTCTTGCTTCCGTGAGAATGCTGACAAGCAGAGTAAACTAAGTGCTCCAATTTCTAAGTTCAGAAAATTACCCATTTTAGTCAGCTTCTGCAGGGCCTTCTAGGACAGGGCACAGCAAAAACACCACTTCTGAAAACCCCAATCCCCTGGACCACATCTAGAGGACTACAGAAGGTAAGAGGGAGAATTCTCAAAGTTGTAGTTATCCATAATCCTACCCCTTCTTATCAAGAGGAGGAGAAAGGCATTGAACTCTCTCTCATCCCTGCCTTTTACAGATGGTCCTGGAATATGGAGAAAAGGAAAGGAGAAAAAGGGCTAAGGTGCCAGAGGAAATTCCCAAAGCAGCCTGCATTCCCTCATAAATCAAATGTATAACATGGAATTCACCTGACACTTATATCATCTTTTCAGTGCTCCAATGGTCATACCCACAAAGAAAAGGGATCCAGGCAACAAGAGGATGGAGGGTAGATTGGTCTTGGACCAGGAGTTTAGGACAAGGTGATGTTGAGGACTTTGAGACAAGAGTGTACATTTTAGTTATTGAATTACATCACAGAAATAATCACACCAGCCTATATTTTTCACCAAAAATGAATGAAAAGAAAATTATGTCTGTTCTAGGCAGATGGAGGTCAAAGGCTGCTCTAGATCCAGAATCTTAACCTATATCAAGATTCATGTTCGTGCATAGCTTTATTGAAACTCTTGGCTCAAATTGACTTACTTCCCTAATGTCAAAATTTGAGAGCCCATTTGTAAAATGGCTGAGTGTAATGCACTGTGGATGATCAATCAAGAGTCACTAGTCTGTGTTCTTATTGGAGAAAATAATATTGCTTTTCTGTGTACATCTGTGTAAGAAATTTCACTTAGACATGAATGCTAAGAAAAACTACAATCCTTTCCAAGCAATAAACATATCCTTTTATGTTTCATAAAATTATCTCTTCATCTGGAATAGTAGAAGTTTTTATTCAGGCTTGCTTTATGCTTTCTCAAAGCTACGGTTATGTTTAACATATTTGCTTTATTTCTATTCCAGTGCCTTTGTCATATTTTATGTTAACATTTTGTGTTGAACTATCTAGCCTATCTACCTTATCTATCTATCTATCTATCTATCTACCTATCTATCTATCTATCTATCTATCTATCTATCTGTCTGTCTATTTTATTATACCAAAATCTTCCTACAAGTGTTGATGTCTAAATAAATTTGATAATGTTTATTAGATAACCTTCATATGTAATTGATTTGCTCATCTATTATCCATAGAACTTGGAAACATATTTGTAGATAAAAGTTACAGATGTATAGATACATTGATAGATAATGCAGTTATATAAAAGTATATATATTAAATTTTAACCATATAAATATGTAACCAGACATATACAGATTTTAGTAAATTTCTTTTGACTTTTTATTTTTAAATGTGAACAAAAATAGTTGGTGATGATGGTGTCTGAATCTGTGGTCCCAATTGTTATCTCACAACTCCAAGTTCCCAACACAGTTGGAAACATCATTTATCTACCGAATTCTTCTGTTGGTGTTTTTCTCCCAGGGAAGCAGAGAAAATAAAGAGTTTTCTGCTTTTAATGTTTCTGCTTTTTATGTTTGTCACAGTGCTCTGCTTTTAGCAAACACCCTGATACACTAAAAGTTTGCTTTTTATTTAACCTTAAAAATTTCTTTGGTAAGCTTGTCCTAAAAACTTGACCCTGAATTATACAAATGCCATTCAAACATCTATTTGTGCATCTCTTTTTTTTTCACTTCAACTGAAAATATACTTTCTCTAAAATGTACATTTGCAATAGGAATATATTACTGATGGTGGAAATAAATTTCCATGTAAATTCATATTGTCCTTCTACATAGTGAAATGACAGCGTTTTGGAAGTCACGTGCACACAGCTCCCCAGGGAATCTCACATCTATTATCCATTTCATGCATTGTGAGGCTTTTATGGCAATGTCCATACCCTTCATTTTAGATAGATCTATCAGTCTCTCGGTACTATCCATGCACTTTGGATCACTAAGACTCCTCCTGAGTAGACGACATACTAATATGTGACTAGTAATTGAATTTTTGACATATGCAAAAATGTTGTAAAATAGATAAGAGAGAAAGTGCCATAAATAGATATCTAAAAGAAGGGAACAGATGGCCTCTTTGTGAAGATGTTTGGATAAAGCCAAAACATGACGAACAGATGGTTTATACGTATGGGGTAGGTTGACAATGGAACCTGAAGCTGGTGGGGCATAATGCACAGAGCTCCAACTTTTCCTAAAAAACCTGAAGTTTGGTCTATAAGAGGAAAGTATTACAGACTACATAAAAACATAGACAATTGCTGAGGAGAGCTTTACTTCCAACTATGTGTTCAATTTTGGAATAAGTGTGGTGCAGTGCTAAAAAAATGTATATTCTGTTGATTTGGGGTGGAGAGTTCTGCAGATGTCTATTAGTTCCACTTGGTGCAGAGCTGAGTTCAATTCCTGGGTATCCTTGTTAACTTTCTGTCTCGTTGATCTGTCTAATGTTGACAGTGGGGTGTTAAAGTCTCCCATTATTATTGTGTGGGAGTCTAAGTCTCTTTGTAGGTCACTCAGGACTTGCTTTATGAATCTGGGTGCTCCTGTGTTCGGTGCATATATATTTAGGATAGTTAGCTCTTCTTGCTGAATTGATCCCTTTACCATTATGTAATGGCCTTCTTTGTCTCTTTTGATCTTTGTTGGTTTAAAGTCTGTTTTATCAGAGACTAGGATTGCAAACCCTGCCTTTTTTTGTTTTCCATTTGCTTGGTAGATCTTCCTCCATCCTTTTATTTTGAGCCTATGTGTGTCTCTGCATGTGAGATGAGTTTCCTGAATACAGCACACTGATGGGTCTTCACTCTTTATCCAATTTGCCAGTCTGTGTCTTTTAGTTGGAGCATTTAGTCCATTTACATTTAAAGTTAATATTGTTATGTGTGAAGTTGATCCTGTCATGATGATGTTAGCTGGTTATTTTGCTCGTTAGTTGATGCAGTTTCTTCCTAGCCTCGATGGTCTTTACAATTTGGCATGATTTTGCAGTGGCTGGTACCGGTTGTTCCTTTCCATGTTTAGTGCTTCCTTCAGGAGCACTTTTAGGGCAGGCCTGGTGGTGACAAAATCTCTCAGCATTTGCTTGTCTGTAAAGTATTTTATTTCTCCTTCACTTATGAAGCTTAGTTAGGCTGGATATGAAATTCTGGGTTGAAAATTTTTTTCTTTAAGAATGTTAAATATTGGCCCCCACTCTCTTCTGGCTTGTAGAGTTTCTGCCGAGAGATCCGCTGTTAGTCTGATGGGCTTCCCTTTGTGGGTAACCTGACCTTTCTCTCTGGCTGCCCTTAACATTTTTTCCTTCATTTCAACTTTGGTGAATCTGACAATTACGTGTCTTGGAGTTGCTCTTCTCGAGGAGTATCTTTGTGGCGTTCTCTGTATTTCCTGAATCTGAATGTTGGCCTGCCTTGCTAGATTGGGGAAGTTCTCCTGGATACTACCCTGCAGAGTGTTTTCCAACTTTGTTCCATTCTCCCCGTCACTTTCAGGTACACCAATCAGATGTAGATTTGGTCTTTTCACATAGTCCCATATTTCTTGGAGGCTTTGTTTGTTTCTTTTTATTCTTTTTTCTCTAAACTTCCCTTCTCGCTTCATTTCATTCATTTCATCTTCCATCACTGATACCCTTTCTTCCAGTTGATCGCATTGGCTCCTGAGGCTTCTGCATTCTTCACGTAGTTCTTGAGCCTTGGCTTTCAGCTCCATCAGCTCCTTTAAAGCACTTCTCTGTATTGGTTATTCTAGTTATACATTCGTCTAAATTTTTTTCAAAGTTTTCAACTTCTTTGCCTTTGGTTTGGATTTCCTCCTGTAGCTTGGAGTAGTCTGATCATCTGAAGCCTTCTTCTCTCGACTCGTTGAAGTCATTCTCCGTTCCGTTGCTGGTCATTCTCTTTGTTCCGTTGCTGGTGAGGAGCTGCGTTCCTTTGGAGGAGGAGAGGCGCTCTGCTTTTTAGAGTTTCCAGTTTTTCTGCTGTTTTTTCCCCATCTTTGTGGTTTTATCTACTTTTGGTCTTTGATGATGGTGATGTACAGATGGGTTTTTAGTGTGGATGTCCTTTCTGTTTGTTAGTTTTCCTTCTAACAGACAGGACCCTCAGCTGCAGGTCTGTTGGAGTTTGTTAGAGGTCCACTCCAGACCCTGTTTGCCTGGGTACCAGCAGCGGTGGCTGCAGAACAGCGGATTTTCATGAACCGCGAATGCTGCTGTCTGATCGTTCCTCTGGAAGTTTTGTCTCAGAGGATTACCCACTGTGTGAGGTGTCAGTCTGCCTCTACTGGGGGGTGCCTCCCAGTTAGGCTGCTCGGGGGTCAGGGGTCAGGGACCCACTTGAGGAGGCAGTCTGCCAGTTCTCAGATCTCCAGCTGCGTGCTGGGAACACCACTGCTCTCTTCAAAGCTGTCAGACAGGGACATTTAAGTCTGCAGAGGTTACTGCTGTCTTTTTGTTTGTCTGTGCCCTGCCCCCAGAGGTGGAGCCTACAGAGGCAGGCAGTATGGCACACTCAATTCATCTTCCTGGAAACCTCCATTTACATTTTATTGTTCAATCCAGAAGTAAATAACTTACATTCAACTATTGAGAAAAATTTTAAATGTGAGGACTACAGGGTAGATAAACTTCAAATATCTCAACTGGTACCCAGCTAAGTTCATGTAGACTTAGGATTAATTTTTTTTACAATATTGGCTTTGCCTTGTTTTATTTGCTTTAGAAATGAAATCTTAAGAACGTTGAAAATATGCTGGCTTATTTCTCCCTATAGAAATATATTGCTAGTTATTTCTACTTGTATAAAATATATAGGGTTTTTTGTTGCTTGTTTGTTTTTTTAGAACAAATGGAGTCAATGAGCTCTCTCTTCTGTAGCACTTTCCATGTTGAATAATTCTCAACACAAGGAAACAAACCTGTTTTCTTTTTAAAAATAATTACACAAGCAGGTCTTGAAAAATTTAGCTTACACAATGCAGTATTATGTAGATTTAAATGTGTCCTCATCCTGCCCACTGCTGTCTTATATTTATTTTAAATTACCATTCTATTCTGATTTTTTTTAGTGGTAGTCATTGCTATCATTTCAACATACGTTATATTCTGTCATTTTCTCTGACTTTACTTGTGTATACACGTGTCCAAATTCATATATATGGATTTTATTAAAACCATAATTTAATAATTTTGTTTACATGCTTTTTTTCTGTTAACAATAGCTGAGGTTTTATACAGCTATCCCTCTCATTTTGATTCAGAACTATGTAATATTTCATAGAATGAAAGTACCATAATAGCTTATTCCATTAAAAAATCTGTTACTCACCATGCTTCATCATGCATACATGAAGATATATATTTATGGTCGTGTGTAGAAAAATAAAAGCAGAAATATTAAGTGAAATTAAAAATATATAACCTTTACAAGATTTCCAATAGATGCTAGCCAATTGCATTTAACAAATTATTTTCTCTCCAAGACTGTAGGAAAATGACATAACCCCATCCCCTACCAGAAATGAATATCAAATTAATCTTGATTTTACAAGTATTAGTATGCAGATATCATAAGGGTTGTTAGTTAATAACAACAACTGAGTATAATTTGAGCTGTTAGAAAATTATTTTCTTATATCTAAGGTAAAATTTTCCCTTAATATTGATTTATTGGTCTTAGCTCTACTCTTGGTATCAAAGAGAAAATGCTTCTATTTTGTTTATATAACAATTTTTCCACATACAAAGTAGTCACATGGTAAAAGACTGAATAGACTGCTAAAGCCCTACATAAAGAGCAACCCATATGTCACCTGTGTCTTCTATGGTTACTTGTGTCAAAGAGATTTCAATAATATGGTGCAAGTTTTAAGGGGTCACATTTATTTTTCCCAAGACCTGATCTGTGTATTCGTGTTGCCTTCACAATTCAGGCAAGAAGGTTGCTACTCAGGGCTTTTCTTTATCCCCATTTCTCCCATCACCCCCCACCAGAAACTATATTAATTACACATGCAGATCAAAATCACCAGGTTTTATTTTAGTTCTACTTTACTTGCCCTTTGGAGGTCAACCTCCCTTATTTCCACCCATCCTTTTTGTTTCTTCCTAGCTGCTGTCATTTTCTTTTCATATTTTTTCTATTAATCTCCATATCGTTCACGGTGTTTATCATGCTATTCCATTGTAATTAATGTCTCTGGGTTATGAAAGAGCAGATTTAACTTCTGTTTCACTTAGATGTGCTTTATCCCTGAGTAACATGATGCGTGAAAGGATGGACTTGGTGGATTTGGAAATGGAAATGAGACCCATAATGCTTTGCAGCAAATATGCCTGATTCTGAATTTGAAAACTCTTTTAGTTTAGATTCCAATTGTATCCTAAAATAAATTTAGGTTCCACAGACATTTTACTAAGTGTCTGCTTTGGGTCAGGCATAGCCCCAGGAACTCTCACACTGTATTGTTACGTTAACAAAAGTTATTAAGTGTATGAGAGTGAAACTGTGGAATGAAAACTGCATTTTGTATCAGAGAGAAAAGAAACAACTTACATTTTACATATTAAAATATAAAAAATCCAATATTTTACATGTGAATCCTGTGGGATTTCATACTGCTTGTATACATTAGCTCAAGTGATATTAATTGCAATATGGTGGAATACTAATAGTTTCATTTTTGCAGAAGAGAAAATCGAGTGTTAACAGATGCTGACATCCTTGCCACTATCCTACAGCTATTCAATGACATTCCAGGGCTAGGTTTCTGGTGTTTTTCTTTTTCTCTGGCTTCCAAGAGACTGGCAAACTATTTCTTAGTTTTGATTGCCTTATCCCAGTAGTCTCTGTAATCAACAGAAGCAGCAACCGAGGTTCTCTACTTATTAGTATGCATAGGTTTGTGTTTTTTTAACGAAGTAAATATATTTTATTGAGTCTTTCCAAAATCTTTGTAATTTTCCTTAATAAATCAGGAAAGAAAGCATTGTGACTTTTTTTTCCAATATAATCCTGTATTTCCATGAAGATGGCTTCTTTCAGTGTTTATTTTGTTAAGCACATAGTCTATACATCTTTGTTAAATAAATGAATATGGAGCTTCTATTTTTCATAAAGAATTTTATGCATGGTTCCAAACTGACCTGTCTGTATATTTTTATCACCTCAAGCCGCAATATATTGATAGTATTTATTGAGTATCCATTTGATTATAGCACCATATTTCATGCATATATGTTTTTATTCAATATTTGATACATTGGGAGAAAAAAATGAATACATTAAAAGTACCGACTGTTTTATTTCTTCCAATATATCTTTTTCTATACTGATAGAGTTTATAGCTTTATAAATTCTAATAGCTACATTCTTTTTCATTCTCTTGATAAACTCTTTTGATTAAACATTTTGCAATTGTTGAACTTCATAGTTGTTTTTTTTTTTTTTTTTTGGAGATGGAGTCTCGCTCTGTCGCCCAGGCTGGAGTGTAGTGGCGTGTGGTGTGATCTCGGCTCACTGCAACCTCTGCCTCCCGGGTTCAAGCGATTCTCCTGCCTCAGCCTCCCGAGTAGCTGGGACTACAGGCCCCTGCCACCACACCTGGCTAATTTTTGTATTTTTAGTGGAGACGCAGTTTCAACATATTGGCCAGGCTGGTCTCGAACTGCTGACCTCAAGTGATCTGCCTACCTTGGCCTCCCAAAGTGCTGGGATTATAGGAGTGAGCCACCGCGCCCAGCTTCATTGTTGATTTTTTAAAGCAGGGACTCTAAGTTTGCATGTCAACTATAGTAAATGCATGTTACATACCTTTTTTCCATTTTTTTTTGCTTATTTTTAGTTTGTTATATGAAACCTGTTATTGATATAACCTCAAAAAAACTTGCATGTGTCTAAAGTATGTTTACATATATTTATAGCAGTGGTACAGTCATTAAAGATTTTAGGGCAGAGGGCAGTTTGCATCCTTATAGATACAATTACAAATATCTCTGTTCTTTCTTTTGTAACTACAAAATGCCTTCTGAAAGTAAAAGCGTGGGTAATAGTTCTAAAGGCACTTTGATTATTTTTTGGAATATCATTCCTGAATTGAGCTGTGTGTGATATCAAAGAATTGGGCTTTTCATTAGTCAGGATGTTTGTCCTCAATTGTTTCCTTAATGATGGTTCTTTCATTGCTGGAATGTCCTGTTTCTCCTGATGTGTTGATTAACCATGAGTTGACTCATTCTATTTTTGAGGTAAGTTTCTTCTGCAGGAATAAGCTACATAGGTAATTAAGCCATTTTTCTAATTTGCCTTTTAAATATACACAATGTGCAACAACCCTTTTTTAATACTGCCACTTCAATTTTGCCTTTTGAAAATACCAATAATATTTTTCTCAACAATTTCTTAGTTTACTACAGGTTTTCTTTATTGTTTTATATTCTATTTTAGTAGTCATTGCTTTTTTCTTTTATTTATATAATCGTGCTTTTTTCATGATTATTAAAAAAGTAGTTTCTCTAGTATGGATATTTTTGGCAAATTTTGTTGTTTCTTTATTATTTTTTGTATTTCTTTTATTTAGATCTGACACCCCACCCTCGTTCCTCTTTTACTTTGTTCGTAATTTTGAAGTCTCCCACTTACACTTACTACTTTTTCTTTACTATATAACTATTTTTTTCTTTTTTAATTTTTATTTTAAGTTTGGGGTGCATGTGCAGGTTCGTTGCAGAGGTAAACTTGTGTCATGGGAGTTTGTTGTACAGATTATTTCACTATCCGGGTATTAAGCCTAGTACCCTGTACCGTTATTTTTCATGTTATTTTCTTGAGTATAAAAAGTGGTAAAATGTACTCCATTTATATGAATATTCCATGTCTTTCAACTTTAGTAGAATTTATGCTTATTAATAGCTTTTTTTTTCCTATATCACTGGCAATGGAATAAAACCAAACATCTGTTTCTTTGTTGCTATCAGCATATTTAGGGATTGACAGAATCATTTGATTGAAAATTCTCTAAATATGATCACAGTATTTTATGGATTTTCATCTTTTTTAACAACATAAATATGGATTACATTTGCCTTATAATCATGTGTTTGTGATTCAAGCAGATATACCAGTACTTAGATGGTTCTCAGGAGTGACTCCATTTCTCAGTCTAATACTGGTATAGGGGAAAGGAATTTAAACTATTTTCAGAAAAAAAGGTCATCCATACCATGTGTCATGTTCTTTGCATTTATTCTAGTTTTAAGGTTCTTTAATATTTAACATGGAGATATTACTACTTTTCTCACCAAGTTATAATAGAGGATGTTTAGGGTTGAATAAAATAATATATGTTAAACATTTTACTTTATGGTTTATATACTATTAGTATTATGCTTATTTTATATATTGCCATTATCTTATCATGAAATAACAAAAATGCGGGGGGTGGGGGTCTATCGATTTTGAGTTATGGTTTGCTAACTGCGTTGTCCTGAATGATTTCTCTGATCATGAAAAAGTACACAGTGGGTGGAACTGCAAACATCAATTCTTCTGGTAGTGTACACAGGCTTCTGTTAAGTTAGGAAAATCCTTCGACAGTTATGGCCTTCAAATTCCCCTTCAAGACAGCTGTACAATAGACTATTGCCATATTTCAATTTTCTCCCCATGAATTGTTCACATTAGTTTCTCAATCTAAAATGTCTTTTGGTGTGGTCTTATTTTTAATGTGAACTGGCTTAGACGTCAATGATTAATTGCCAATAATATTCCTGAAAAGAGTAGGAAACTACTTTTAAGTAAAACATTCCACTTAATCCAATAGGTCTTTATTCTTCATAAACCAAATGTCCTTTCTGAATAATATTTTTCCTACTGAGTTAGATATTTTGGTATGTCCTGTAGATACCTCAGTTTTAATATGGCCAAAAATATCTATCATTTCCTCTCTTCAAACTATTTCCCTCTATTATTCTTAATTTTGATTACTATAGCCATTATCTACATACTTTTTGAAGCTTAAAACCTAAGAATTGACATGGACAACTTCCTTTTTTCATTCCCACAATAAACTGTTCATTAAATCCTTTTGAATCGACTTCCAAATGCTTCTCAAATCCAACCACTCCTCTCATCTCCTTGCCTTTTGTCAATACTTTACTTCAGGCAAACTTTATCTATTCTCTGGCCTATAGCTGAACATCCTGACTTGTGTCCCTACTCTCAGTTGTTCCTTAGTCTTTCATTCCTGGACATCTCATTAAATTCTCTACATAGTTCCCAAAGTTACCTACCCATTATATCATAATATCATTTTTAAAGGTTTAAAAGGTTTTTGATGCAATATCATTAGCTATTAGAGAAAAGCAAAGTAAAGCTACAATAACATGCCACTATACACTTACTAGAATGGGAAAAGTAAAACCATGCTGACAATATCAAGTGCTGGTAAATATGTGGAACAACTGGATCTCTCCTGCATTGGTGGTGGGAATGTAAATCGATACATTTATTCTGAAAAACAGTTTGGCATTCTTTTATAAAGTTAACCATATCTTTATCACATGACATAGAAATCACAATCTTTAGTGTTTATCTCAGAGAAATGGAAACTTACATTCACGAAAAACCAGAACACTAAAATGCATAGGAACTTTATTTGTAATAGCCCTAATCTGGAAAAACTCAATTGTCGTTCAATGAATGAATGAATAAACAAACTGTGGTACATCATTACAACAGAATACTACTCAGAAATGAAAAAGAATAAGCTATTAATAGACACAATAACTTGAATATATATTGAGGCTAAGTGGGAAAAAAGCCTATCTCAAAAGGTTACTTACTGTGTGATTCTATTTATTTAAAAGCCTAAATATGATGAAATGTAGTGATGGAGAACAGATCAGTGGTTATTAGGGGTTATGGTATGAGGAAGTGGAGGGTTGTGACTATTAAAAGATAAATTTCTTTATGTTGATAGAACAGTACTCTATCTTGATTGTAGTGATACACTAATCTATATATGTCATGGAATTTATAGAACTATATACTAAGGGAAGAAAAGATGACTAAAAAGTAGATGAAATCACAGTATGATCTGTAGTCTAGTTAATAGCATACCTATATCAATTTTTTGGTTTGGATGAACTTCTTTGCTTACAAGTTTCTTTGGGAACCTCTGTACTATTTTAAAAACTTGTTTATCTTAAACTATTTCAAAATAAAATCTTATTCAAGGGAAAAAAATAAAGGCTTCTACTGATTCCCAAGACCAAGAGAGATAAAAATCAATTTTTTACCAAGACATATAATATGAATCCAAGTTGTTTTTAAACTCTCTAATCATCACTCTTCTTCATTCTTGCAAGTAGTTCATATCTTAGCCATTGGGAAATCACAGATATGCACAGAATGCCTTCTTTCACCTCTCATTGACAAATTCCCACTTATCTTTCAATACATGGGCTAAACTCTTCTTTGAGGATCTTCTCAAATCTCAAGTGCTGCTCCTACTCTGCTGCTGTAACACTTCATCATACATTTTTTGAGAAATTATCACAATCCATTGTTTTTTTTTCTGTTTATGCATCAGTTTCTTTCTTTAGACAATGAACTGGACAGATGGTATAGCACTGTTCCAGGTTCCTCTCAGAGGAGACAATATTAGCCTAATTACTTTAAAAGCTCAATCTAAAACTAATTTTGCAACAAGCCCAAAATAAATTAATGTTTTGTATTAATTGAGCTGTTGCACTTAGACTTGGTTAATGTAAATATTTTTATTTTCTTCCACCCACAAGGAATGTCTACTTTGCATTGTTGTTTCTGATCTCCATATTCTTGCCATATTAGCAGAACATCAGTGTTTCAAATATATTTTTTAAAGCAAGCTTCATGGATCTAATAAACACTAATACCATCTGTGCTTTTCTATAGCCCAGGGAAATTCTATCTAGAGTTACAGGACATTTTTGAATAGAGTTAGAAATATATACAGTTCTCTTGGAGTCCATAACATTTTATTTCCCAAATATTATGTTTGTGGAATCTAATACTTGCTGTTGTGTGCTATTATAGGCACAGTTTTAAAAACATTTGTTTTATATATAAGCTCTTGGGTCATGATCTCAGGGAGTCTTTTTAGATTATGTTGGTTTTGTATGATAGAATCACTTTCTAAAAGTGATAATAGTACAACATGACAGACAGTGGTAATTGAACATAGAAAACAAAAGCAGAAAAATATATTTGTATGAAGCAAAGCAAATTATGTATTAAGTTGGATGCCATAATTGTAATAATATGTTGAGATGCCTACTAATTCTAACCTCTTATTCAACCTAGTTTTTAAGGATTTTTTCCTATTCTTTTTATCATCAGTAAGCCAAGGTCTGTTCCTCCTTCTGTAATAGCTTTTTGCTTTACTATAGACAGCATAGAGTAAATGCAAAAGTTTTAATCAATACAATTAACATGATTCACAAACCTTCCAGTGACATCTTTGCCAAATTTCATACCCTATGTTATGAAGTTCTGCATGAAAAGCTTTGACTGTTTATCTAATCTCATTGTATATCCTCCTTTTATGTAGTACACCCCAGACTTATTGGCCTTCTTGTTCTTCCAACAATCCAGGCTTGCACTGGTTTGGAAACTTTAGCTGTTATCCCTCTTCAGGGTGTAATGCCTCAAGATTTCACACACGACTTTTTCTGGTTTTTCAGATCTTAGTTTAAGTGTCACTTTCCCAGAGAGGCCTTTTCTGAGTATCCAACTTAAAGTAATCTTGTCATAGTGTGTGTGCCAATGCTGTCTTATAACAGCTCACTAGGGCTTACGGTATACCTCTTTCCAACTATGTATTGAGTGATGTCATATTAGTAAATTTAAATTAGTCATGTTGGGAATGTTTTCATCACAGAAAATGGCAAAAACTCGGCTTGCTTTGTTCCTTTTAGAGAGCTGGTTATTAAACATTTGTCAGCATACCATTGCCTATATTGCCTATTAATATGTGACTCTTTATATTATTTATATTTCTTGCAACCTTTAATTTCTCTTCTGAAAACTCTATTCATATGCATCTATTTCTAGTAGAATATAAGTTTGATAAGAACCAATTCCCTGCTCTCTTGCTAGTGCCTAGAATACTGCTTTCCACATCATGAATGTACAGTAAATATTTTTTGAATGAGTAAATTACTAGGCTAACCTATCTGTTATTCAGTTATGATGAGTTTATTAATATTTAACATCCATTAGTTGATTTTTAAAATAAAACTTCTATTCTTCTATGAATGATTTCCTTAAGTAACATTGGATATATATGTATGCTATATTATTAGTCTCTTTCAATTAGTCAGATGCCCATTTCAAGATAGCTCGTTAGATTTGCTTTATCCTAACATATAAACTTCACTCAGAAGAGAGAACTTTCAAATCCTTAAATCATCTAAGAAATCTCTCCAATTCTTTCATGTCAAGGTTAATAATTAAATGTTTAATATCTCTTTAAGCTATTAAGCTAACAATAAAAATGCAATATTTTAACCCAATTTACTTGATTAAGGAAAAATCCCAGATGTGATTTAACATGAAGAATTGCAGTGATCTGCAGTTCATTAAAATCTGAATACTAAAAAGAGAATTTTAAACATATTATGTAAAGAAGTTCGTTTACCTCTTTTCCATAAAGAAATATTATCTTCATTTTCCTTAAAGCATGTTGATTATCATTAGGTACTGGATATACCTAACATGAATTATTGCCTTTTTCCCTGCAGAGCTGTGTACTGGTAGTTATTAAATAGCCCATTATCAACTGAAATTCAGATGCAGGTTTTATTCTCCTTTTTTCTGACCATATTTTTCTGCTAGTGTTTATTTATTTACTTATTTTCATTAAAATGACCATGACCTTGGTGTTAAAATCAGTAATGTATACAGAAAATTCATTTGGAATGCAATAGTTATAATTCAGTTCTGAAAATTTATGTTTATCAAAGTATAAAATATTTTTGTTATAACTCTTTTAACTTTTCCTAAAGTGATGTGTGAGCATGATGTAATGTAGCAGAGGTCCAAATTTCCTTTAAGAATATTGCTTAGACCTCATATCATCTGGTTTTAGGACTTAACAAGAAAAGAAAATATTAAAAATCAGATGTCCTATACTGAGAGTTTTATCTTCTAAAGAACTATTTCCTCTTTTATGTTAAGTACCTCCAAAGTATGATGTTGTTAACGTGAGCACATATGTGCACAAATCAGAGCTGCGCTACAGCGCTGAGGAACTACATGTGGATCCTGAGACCCAGTTTAGCTGAAAAAGTACATCTGTGAGCAAATGGCATTGAATTTTATTATTAAGCATCTGATGAAGTGGTTCACCTTTTGTTTTTAGGTCCACATTTGCTGAAATGTAACTCTTATCTCATGCACTGGGAGTGATGAACTTCACTAGGAATCATCGTTCTTTCTGGTAAGTCACCACAGCACAAAACTGCAACCATTGTTTAGTAACAACTAGACTCTGATTGATGCTGTGGAGAATTTGACTAGAAGTAGGAGGATCATTTACTACACGGCAAAGAAACAAATCAGTCTATCTTAGAAAGGTTAAAATTTACATGGATAATAAAGAAAGGAAGAAGAAGAGTGATAAATTAGTGAGAAAAGAATAGTAAGTGTAATTATAGCAATATGCTTAAATGAAAGAGAGAAAAATATGGTAGAAGCATTTATTGATTTGAGTTTGTAATTTTTTTAAATAAAAAAGCTTAGTCTGGATTCCAACTTGTATATAAAATTAGGAGCAAAGGTATGATTAATATGTTCATGGAATATAATTATCAAGAAACCACAGACATTTGTGTATGGAGGACACAGAAAGGAGAGAACTTGCTAACAGGAATCCCATTAAAGAAGCTTCAGAATTTGAAGATCAGCAAAGAGAAGGAAGAGATGAGAATGAAAGGCTTTACGAAGGAATGAAATGACAGTCATTGCATTTATTGATGTATCTGTATTTAAACATAAGTATATTTATTTATATTTGAACATAACTGAGTTTTCTAGCAAAATTAATAAGGATTATGCTACAGGCATACTCAGTTACAATCTTAGAGGGATTCTGAGAACTCTTTGACAGGTTATTTACTTATAGTTTGTCAGTAGTTTCTAAACATTTTTGGATGCACATCTCTATAAGTAATAATATTTGAGCAAGTAAACTTCAGTACTATATTTGTTTATTTATATGTACACAATTTTTCTAATATATAATTTAAAAATACCTACTAAAATTGATGAGATAAGATAAATGTAAACAGAATTTTTAATAAATTATTTCTACCACAGCAGATCATTTTTGTATGCATCCCAATCTGGAGACTACGCAGTTTGATTTGGCATTACTATTGATTTGAAATAGAGTTTTGTTTATTTATTTCATTGTTACAAAGAATAGGAAATACAACATAGAGGCTCCCCTCCTAGAATCAAACTAAGTTTAGCATATTATCAACAAATGCTTGCCTCTGAAAAAATACTAATCACTTCTTGTATTAATGAGACTTTATCCAATTTAATTTCATATATTGAATGAGGTTAGGCATTCATTAGAACAAGTCATGACAGGCTAACATTTGTATTTATTAATAGTATGGTAGATATTGATCTCTTTTTCTTCTGAATGACAGGCATTCTATTTTCTAACTATTCTTTCCTCATTTCATGTGATTTGGATGAGGCTATAAATCATAGGACCCTGCTCTTTCAGCTTAGTCTAATTTTGGCACAAAGTATGCATTTAATAACTGATAACAATTATTACTACTACTGTAATTATTACTATCATTGTAGTTATAGGTGCTAATTGGGATTTGTTGAGAGTCCCATATTTGCTCTATGGAATAAACCAAAAGTTGATCAACTCTTTCTGTAAAGGGCCAGATAGTCTATGTTTTGGGCTTTGAGGACATTATGTTCTCTGCCATAACCACTTAACTCTGCCATTGTAACATAAAAGTAACCAGACAGTACATCAACGAATGAATGTGGTTTTGTTCCAATAAAACTTTAGCTGTGTATATGGAGGTGGGTTTGATTTAATTTGAGGTCCATAGTTTGCCAAACCCCAGAAAAAAGCATACAAAATTTACTGAATGCCAATCTGTACAAACGCATAGCTAGTGTGTTAATACATAAATATGCATACAGTCATTCATTATATAATAATTTAGTTCAATAATGGTCTGCATATACCATGGTGGTTCCATAAGGATGTAATATCATATTATTGCTGTACATTTTTTATTTTGACATGTTTATATACATAAACACTTACCGTTGTGTTACAATTGTCTGCAGCATTTGGAACAATCACAAGCTATACAGGCTTAAAAGCGAAGAGCAATAGGCTCTATACCACATAGCCTAGGTGTGTAGTAGGCTATATCATGCAGGTATACATAGAGCATAAGTACATTCTATGATGGTCACACAACAAATCACCTAAGGACTCATTTCTCAGAACATTTCCCTGTCATTAAGTGATGCATGACTACACACGTACCTGAAACTATAAATAACTTTGAAGTATAAATAGTTGGTTGCTTTCTGGTATTTAAAATCAAGCCTACCTTTTAGGCTAAGCGATAGAAGAATAAGAAAATGCTGATTTCTTTCAATGTTTCTTTTGCTTTCATTATGAACTGAATGCTTGTATGCCCCCAACATTTATATGTTAAAGCCTGATTCCCAATGTGATGTCATTTGGAGGTAGATCCTTTACAGGTAATTAGGTCATGAGAGTGGAGCACTCATTAGTGGTATTAGTGCCCTTATAAGAAGACACAGGATAGAGTGTGCTTCCTCTTTATCTTTTTCCACCATGTGAGGAAGCCATGGAAGAAGGTGATCATCAGAACCTAACCATGCTGACACCCTGCTTTCAGAATTTCAGCCTCCAGAACTGCAAGAAATACATTTCTGTTGTTTAAGCCACCCAGTAATGTGTTATAGCAGCCTGAACCAACTAAGTCAGCTTTCATTATTTGTTTCTTTATGATTTGCTGATCTTGTTTTGTGCTTCACAAAGATCCACATAAAACGTCGATACCCCCAGTAGTTCACTTGCAGTTGGTCAATTTCCTGCAGCAGAGCTAATCAACTCATTGCAGACTCTCCTTGCCCTTCTATTCTAGTTGGTCAAAGTTTGATCTGTAAAGTGTAGTTTCTATGTCAACTTTAATTTTGCTATGCACTTTTTCCATGTCTTTAAAACTACATAAACACATGTAATATTTAAACACTGTGGTTTATTCTAATCTATGAAAAACCTATTATTCTGTTCCATTTTTCAAAATACATTTCTCAATTACAATGATGCTATAAGTTTTATAAACTCCCTTTTATTAAGCAAGGAAAAAATGCCCCTCTTCTAGATAGAGGGCCTCCAAGTTAATTCATCAGCAGTAAACATTTTTTTTCCTACGGTTAAATTGATGTATTCACTGCTGCGTCCTTTCTTACTTCTCATTAACCCTCCAACAACCTGGATTTTCCTGTGGTCTCTGAAGAATGTTCTGCTAAATAATGTGTCCATCACTACTTTTGACTTATAATTTCTATTTTAATAAAAAATTAAAAGATTGATTTTTTAAAATTAAAATATTTTATTTTTAATAAATATTAAAAGACTGTTACTGTTAAAATACATTGATTCTATATATATTTTTTCTCTATCCTTCCTTTGAATGACGCTCAAGGCATTTCTTCCATTATGCCTACAGACCTGTGTTATAACACATTCTTTGCCAATCTTTGAAATAAATGCTTAGCAAAGTAATCTTTTAGTTGTATCAGGAGGAAAAGCTATTTGCTTTCTGTCATCACAGACCAATCACAGGTCCTATTTCAACTTCATTTATTAATATTGAGTCAGGTATGCTGCTCAGATTCCTTTGTATATGCAAAACTGTCTCCAAAAATTGGTGTTTAATGTCTACAAGAAAAAAAAAAGAGTGGCTATATTTGTAGCAAAAGGTAAACTCATTGATTTTCATCTCCAGAAGCAATACAAGGATGATTTATTTCCTTGAGAGATAATTTCTTATATGTATAGTAATCAAGGATAGCAACACAAATGAAAATGTAATTATGAGTACTGCATACCATATTGGTTTTTTTCTTCTATTTCTTCTGTTTTTGTTAATTGTCAAAGCCAAGAGTATGTCAAGCTGAGAAAATGTCATTAATGAGGATATAGATTAAATGGTCTGTGGGTAATTAATGATGACTGCAATGTCTTTCTCACTTTATGCATAAAAGATGGGGTTTATTGCTTCTCTCTTTGAACCTGGGTTAGCTCTGTGACTGCTTCATCAGTAAAATGTGGTAGAAATGACATGGTGACAGCTGAAAGTTTACATTTTAAGCAGAGTCTGCTCCCATTTCCTATTGCTTGGAGTGCTTGCTCTGGGGAAAACTAGATGCCCTGTAAGATGTGTGAATATTCAGAACTCGACACGCTATGAGGACTCCAAGCTGGCCATGTTGCAACATCATTGAAACACTATGCATATTGAATTCAGTAGGTTCTTCACACAGATGCTATCTTTTAAAAAAAAACAAATGTAGTTTAACAATTTATTTATTTGTTTTTGTTAATTCTTACAGCAAACATTTGTAGAATATAGTTAAGGATACAGAGATAAAAGATAACATTTTTATCCACAAGGAATGCTTATTATATTCTGTGAGACAGAAAAGTAAACACACAAAATTTAAAAAGTATTATAGGTAATAAGGCAAAAAAAGGTACAATGTACAAATTTGGATGCTAAGAAAGAAGTACTACTTCTATCCGGAGGCATGGTATCTAGTATGCTCTTTGTGTATAATAACAATATATTATTATATGTTTTATATGCATTTTTATTAATAATGGTAATGGCAACTCTCCATTATTGAGCACAAATCATGTGCCAAGCATTATGCAAGTGAGCTACTATTCTGCTTCTACCTGAGAAAGGAGCAAGAAATTAGAAATAACATGTTTCTAAAAATTTCCAATCCAAATTGATCATCTCAAAATAGTATGGCACTTAGGTCAATCAATTTCTTGGGAAAAGAAGCTAACAGATTATAAAATGGGATCCCTCCTCAAAAGGCAGCTCATTCATGATAACTCTCTAAATGGTTGTATGAAAATATAAAAATAATTAAGTTTCATCCTGGACCTTTTGATGCTAACATTAAAAGGACAGCATTGTCTTCTCACAAAAATCCCTTATTTTTCTTCTTACCAATAGAAATCCATGATGAGTGAGCTTGTCTCATTATGGCAATTCCTATAATAACAGATAACAACTAGTAACAGATGTCTCTGAGTCAAATCTCTCTTCTGACCAGCCATACTGAATAATTTGTCATTTCAATTTAAGTGTTTGTGTGATGATGAGAATACTGAAAATGTGCCTTTTAAAGCACTTGATGATACTTTGAATTCTTTAGTTTTTGTAGTTTTGGTCCAAATTTGCTTGCTTTATTTCCTCATAGGTAATGAAAATATAAATCCTTAGCCTAACACTTTTGCAAATTATTTCAAAATGAGAATAAATGAAGTCTAAATTCATTGTGTCTTACTCAAATTGTTTTTACTCATATGGTTGAGTTTCAAATTCACCAGCTGCACAACCTCATGCCAGTCATTTGTTTCCCTCACATACGCCTGTGAAGATCAAAGGTTATAGTTCTTGCTTGTGGTTTTCAAAGTCAGTTTTGCTGAGAAAACTGATCTCTAAATCAATGCTTAGTCAGAAGCCAAATACGTAAAGCACATAACCTCAGGGTTACTTGAAGGATCTCTAATCAGTGGAGATAGGATATGATGAAATTGGACATGAATGTGTTAGCATATTAGTTGTGGATGTTACACAAAGAAGCACTCTCCTCAAATAAGTTTGAGACACTCAGTGATAAGGAAGTTACACAGTTTCTTTATTGCAGTACTTCTCCAAGACCTAGTTATGCTGATGTGAATTGTTATTCTGTGGTGAAGGGTAGTATTTCTCAAAGTTAGGCAACAAATCATTGAACTTTAAGAAAGACAGAAGTGTATTTTATGTACTATTTTATCTTCAATGCTTCCCATAATATCTGACACATAAGTGATATCAATAAACAACATTTGATTGAATTTAAATAATCCATGAGATTTGGTTTCTGTGCCAGTCACTACTGAGTAGCTTTTTGTTTTGAAGAACATAGTCTTTTCTCTCTGTTATTATTTTTGTAATGTGAGTGATGTCTACAAACACAAGAACCAACTGAGCACAAAACAAATAAACAAAAACTCTGAATCTATAACTAACTGAACCACTGAAATTTTTCATCTAAACTTTCCTTACATTCTGACATCCAGAAAAGAATTTCTGCTCAAATGGGCAAGTCACAAAGACAAATACTTTTAACTGTCTTGGTGTTTCACCCCATTTGTTTTATTATCTCTTACTTCTTTTTATGTAAGTTATATTTAGTAGACATTTGTCCACTATTAATGGACTTCTTTCTAGAGGTGGCATTATGTTGAATTTAGTTTTTTAAGGTCATTGCAAGTAAATGAAAAATTTCTGTCTATTATGGTCATTACTATTGAAAATAGATGTGGGAAAATATTCTGTTTATCATTACTGAGAAGATATGTACCAGGTACTATTCTAAATTTGGTACATTTTTCAAAATATCTAACTTTATTTAATTTTCCTAAAATTGCATGAGATGGATATTACCGTCTTCATTTTCTCAACGAGAAAGAACTTGAGGATCTGAAACATTGAGGAATTTTTCTAAGAACAAATAGCTGTGAAATTACAGAGTTGAGGTGAGGACTCAATTTTACCCTGACTCCAAATCATATACTCTTAAATAATAAATAATAGAAATTTGAAATACAAAAATCAAAGTTTCTCTCTCCTTCTGGTTTCATCATTTTATTCTGAGACATCAAGGGAAAGAAGAAAATATCTTCTATATTAAAACCCCTCACCTCAACATGAATTTGTACACTATTCCAGTTTTATTCCCAAAGTGATTGATGAGTTCAAACAGACAGAGGTGAGGGATTGGAATATTAATATCAAAGATCTCAAATGATTTTCTCTCTCCTATGACAGTATTGAATGAGCTTAAACTAATGTTAGCATCAAGATCTTCAAAACATCATTCATCGTGGGGAAAAGGGAATCAATACTAACATCAGGATCTTCCCTCTTACTTAAAGCTTTAATTCACTTCTATGTTCCACTTACATAACCCCAAACAGCCAATACATTTCATTTTATAATATTGCCTATGAATTTTACATATTTATTTTGTGTTATTTCATTAGTCACTGCATGCATGCCTCTGTCCCTTCAACAAATGTTTATTGAGGACCTATTACATGTCAGCACTGTTGTAGGCTCTGGGATGCATTAGAGAACAAAACAAACAACAATCCCTGATGTAATGGAGCTTGCATTTTAATGAGGAAAATAGACTATAAATAAAATAAATAAGTTAAATCAATAGCATATGAAAATATTATAAGTGGGGGGAAATCACTCAGAGAAGGCAGAGAAGGAGTTTTGGGAAATAGGGGTAAATTTTAAATTGAGCATTCAGAAAAAGACTCACTGAAAAGATGAAATTTGAGCAAATGCATGAAAGAGATGCAGAAATGAGCCAGCTGGATATCTGAAGGAAAAGCATGCTAGGCAGAGGGAACAGCAAGGTGGCACATATGCTAAACTATACAGTGAGGAACAGAGTACTAGAGAGATGAATTCAGAGAGCAAATAGGGGAGCAGGGTGTGTGTGTTCAAAACTGCAGACCAGGGGTTAGTAAACTTGCCTTCTAAGGGGCCAGATTATAAACAGGTTCAGCTTTGCAGGCCACATTATCTCTGTCACAACTACTCAACTTTGGCATTATAATACATAGCCATCATTGTATGTAAACCAATACATGTGACTGTTCTAATCCAACTTGATTTTAAAAAGCAAGCAGTGTCAAATTTGCTACAATTTCCCACTGCAGACCATTGAGAAAATTTTGGCTTTTGCTTTAATTGAGATGAAGTGTAGGGTAGTTTTAAAAAACTGTGGCATATTCTTTAGATTTCTTCCCATTGAGAGGTGTCTCTACATCTTGACTTCATTTTGGCTGGACTTATGACTTCTTCTACACATGTACTATGGTAGAAATGATGCTATGCGACCTCTAAGGCTAGTTAATAAAAAAGCATACAACTTCCACCGTTTTCTTTGTATCCTCCCTCTAGAGAAAACCAACTACCATGTAAGTAATATGGCTACCTTGAGGCCACTGAATTGGAGAAACCACATTGAAAAATCTCACAAGTAGGACAGGAGATGCCAGATAAATCGCAGCTGTTCCAGCCTTCACGTAGTTGTGTCATGAAAACCTGTGATTGTGGAAGGCATAAAGATGACCTCAGCCTCAACCTCCATCTGACTACAATCACATGACAGATCCCAAACCAAAACAACCCAGCTGAGTCTAGTTGGTTCCCAGGACCTTGAGCGGAGTGATACATATTTTTTTTTAAGCCAGTCTGTTTTGGAATTGTGTCTTACACATATCCAGGTAACTGAAATCAGCACTCTTTAAAGTATTTTGAGAAAAGGAATTATGCAGCATTAATCTTGTGTTTTAACAGAATTTCTCTGGCTTTGTGGGTGGCAAAAAGGAATCAGGGAGACTATTTTAATAATCCAGACAAAAGAGTTTAGTGGGTTGGACCAGAATCATATCAGGGAGGACCAAGAAAAAGGGTAGGATTTTGTTTAACTGTATTTTGAAGGTACAGGTAACTGCTTTACCTGATAAACCAGATGTAGAATACAAGACAAAGGGTTGAATGAAGATGTCTCCAAGAGTTTTTAGCATGTGGCAGAATGTAGCTGTCATTTACTGAGTTGGAAAAATATGAGAGATGCTGATTCGAAGGTGAAAAATCAGGACCTGAGTTTTGGACTTGTTATTTTCTACATGGTTATTCAACATCCAAATGGAGAAAGCAAAGGGGTAAATATGTATGAGTCTAGCTTTTCTAGCAGAGGTCTTATCTGGAGATATATGTGGATGCTGCCAGCCTCTAGAAAATACTGAGTTACTAAAGCACAAATGGGGAAGAGAAATACCAAGAGCTTGAGGCACTTACATTTTAAGAGGGCAGGGAGATAAGGTAGGATTCTCAAGAGTGTTCAAGAGAAAAGGGCCAGAGAGGTAGGAGAAAAGTTAAGAGAAAGTGATGTCCAAGGAAGCCAAGTGGAAACAGTACTGATGCATGAACCAAGGCAGGCATTTATTATGAAACTGAGCATCCAGAAAACAGGGTGAATATTTAATACCTGTTTTGTCTTCATTTATAAAATCGTGACAAACAGCGTTCATATCTTGAGTCCATTCTATATGCAAGTACAAGTAAAACCTTAGCAAGTATTCTCAATTACAAGTGCAATTTTAGATATTGATGGAGGATGGGCAAGAATTTGGAACAATTTGCTAGGGATGATATAAAATTGTAATAAATAAAAAGTGTTACTTTTTGGCTGTGTCCCCACCCAAACCTCCTCTTGAATTGTAATACCGGTAATCCTCACGTGTGGATGGAGGAATCTGATGGGAGACGATTGGATCGTAGAGGTGGTTTCCCCTATGCTGTTCTCGTGATAGTGAGTGAATTGTCATGAGATCTGATGGCTTTATAAGGCAGTTTTCCCTGCTTTTGCTCATGTTCCCTCACCTGCCACCATGTAAGATGTGCTTGCTTTCTCCTTCTGCCATGATTGTAAGTTTCCTGAGGCCTCCCCAGCCATGTGGAACTGTGAGTCAATTAAACCTCTTTTCTTTGTAAATTATCCATTCTTGGGTAGTATCGTTTAGCAGTGTGAGAATGGACTAAAACAAGAAGAAAGATTGAGACAACATGCTTTGGCCTCTTCTCTGTTTGTTGAACATCCTGGGGAATCCACCACCATAATATCTCTTCTGTTTTAACTGAAGACTTTTGTGCAGGACACTGAATTCACACCAATCTTTATGTTCATATTGACAACTCAGTGATTAATAGGGATACCCTATTTGTTTCATATGCTACATGGTCACAGATTTAGATATGTAAGCTGCAGAAATGAATTGGTTCAACCTTTCTGTAAACTGGGGCTTTATACAAGGAACAATTAAAATTTCTTTAGTTGGCTTTTCTCTGCACTATTTCCCCATTTGTCTATCTAAATCTAAACACAGATGCCATAGTCCTGTTATTTTACCCTTAACTGTGGTGATGCAAAATATAATGCAAAAGCTCAAAAACGATGCACAATAATAGACACGTGCAACTAGCTTTGTAAATAAAAGTTTGCAGTGAGGTCCCCAAAGACTGGAAACTAAATGTTTCCTTTTCAAATTAACAGCTAATATGTCTCACGGTTAGAATGTAAAACTTGCTTCATTACTCATTTAACGACCTGGGGAATTAAAACCATCCTTTCCTCTTCCAATGTTTGAAAGATAATTTTAAATTTTAAATTTCATGTTTTTCTCATTATTAAGGATTGATAATGGACCCAATGCATGGGAAAACTAATCTAACAAAAAATACATTGGAGGTGTCAAGGCAGTGTGTATTAATGGATGACACTTAAATGAGCTGCTAACAGGGCTCAGAAAGAACCTGACAGGCACCATGATTGATCTATTATTGGCCTAGGTGACATTATTGGATTTCAGAAATTTGAATTAAAAATTTCACCTAAAGAAAAAGAATAGGTTTGAATTCAAGCAGTTAATTTAGTATAGTCATTATTTTAAAAAACTTGCTGAAGTGAGGCAGTGTGTACACAGTCAAGTAGGCTTTGGTAAATATTTTAAATATTGTGATTTTTACCTGCAATATATTTGTATACTGCAATGCCTTTGTACACCACAGTTATATTTTAAATATACCATTTTAAGTTATTTTAGTTTGTGTGAATAATGTTGAATATCTGATTTCGTAGTTAACCTGGCCAGAGGCTTTTTTTTAATTGAACTTTTCAAAAAATCATCTTCTGGTTTTGTTGATTTCTCTATTGATTTCCCATTTTTATTTCATTTATTTCTACTCTAATTTTAATTTATTTTCCTATGCTTACTTTGGATTTAATTTGCTTTTGTTCTACTTTTCTAAGGTGATTAATTTTTTTTAATTTTAATAAGTTTTTGGGAAACAGGTGGTGTTTGGCTACATGAATAAATTCTTTATTGGCGATTTCTGAGATTTTGGTGAACTGATCACCCAAGCAGCGTACACTGTACACAATATCTATGTAGTGTTTTATCCCTCAACCTCCTCCCACCCTTTCCCCCAAAATCCCCAAAGTCTATTATATCATTCTTATGCCTTTGCATCATCATAGCTTAGCTCCCACTTATGAGTGAGAACATATGATGTTTGGTTTTCCATTCCTGAGTTGCTTCACTTAGAATAATGGTATCCAATTCCAAGGTTGCTCAAATGTCATTATTTTGTTCCTTTGTATGGCTGAGTAGTATTTCATTGTATATATATATATATATATATATTATATATATACACACATATATCTATATCACATTTTCTTTATCCACTGTTGATTGATGGCATTTGGGCTGGTTCCATATGTTTGCAATTGTGAATTGTGCTGCTATAAACATGTGTGTACAAGTATCTTTTTTGAATAATGACTTATTTACCTATGGGTAGTTACCCAGGAGTAGGATTGCTGAATCAAATGATAGATCTACTTTCAATTCTTTAAGGAATCTCCACACGGTTTCCCATAGTGGTTGTACTAGTTTACATCCCCACTAACAGTGTAAAAGTGTTCCCTTTTCATCAGATCCATGCCAATATCTATTTTTTTGATTTTTTGATAACGACAATTCTTGCAGAAGTGAGGTGGTATCGCATTGTGATTCTGATTTGCATTTCCCTGATAATCGGTGATGTGGAGCATTTTTCATGTGTTTGTTGACTATTTGTATATCTTCTTTTGAGAATTATCTATTCATGTCCTTAGCCCACTTTTTGATGCAATCGTTTGGTTTTTTTCTTGCTGATTTGCTTGAGTTCCTTGTAGATTCTGAATATTAGTCCTTTGACTGTTGCACAGGTTGTGAATATTTTCTCCCACTCTGTGGGTTGCCTGTTTACTCTGCTGATCATTTCTTCTGCTGTGCAGAAGCTTTTTAGTTTAATCAATTCCCATCTATTCATCTTTGTTTTTGTTGTGTTTGCTTTTGGGTTCTTGGTCATGAAGTGTTTTCTTAAGTCAGTGTCTAGAAGGGTTTTTCCAATGTTATCTTCTAGAATTTTTATGGTTTCAAGTCTTAGATTTAAATCTTTGATCCATCTTAATTTGATTTTTTTATAAGGTGAGAGGTGAGGATTCAGTTTCATTCTTCTACATGTGGCTTGCCAATTATCCCGGCAACCATTTGTTGAATAGGGTTCCTTTCCCTATTTTATGTTTTTGTTTGCTTTGTCAAAGATCAGTTGACTATAAGTATTTGGGTTTATTTCTGGGTTCTCTATTCTGTTCCATTGGTCTATATGCCTGTTTTTATACCAGTACCATGCCGTTTTGGTGACTATGGCCTGATAGTATAGTTTGAAATTAGGTAATGTAATGTCTCCAGATTTGTTCTTTTTCCTTAGTCTTGCTTTGGCCCTGTGGGTTTTTTTTGGTTCCATATGAATTTTAGGATTGTTTTTTCTAATTCTGTGAAGAATGATGGTGGTATTTTGATGGGAATTGCATTAAATTTGAGGATTGCTTTTGGCAGTATGGTCATTTTCACAATATTGATTCTACCCATCCATGAGCGTGGTATGTATTTCCATTTGTTTGTGTTGTCTATGATTTCTGTCAGCAGTGTTTTGCAGTTTTCCTTATAGAGGTCTATCACCTTCTTGGTTAAGTATATTACTAAATTTTTTTGTTGTTATATTTTTGTGGCATTTTGCAGCTATTGTTAAAGAGGTTGAGTTCTTGATTTGATTCTCAGCTTGGTTGCTGTTGGTGTATATCAGCGCTACTGATTTGCATACATTAATTTTGTATCCTGAAACTTTACTGAATTCATTTACCAGTTTTAGAAGCATTTTGGATGAGTCTTTAAGGTTTTCTAGGTATAAGATCATATTATCAGCAAACAAGAACACTTTGACTTCCTTTTTACTGATTTGGATGCCCTTTATTTTTCTTTTGTCTGATTGCTCTGGCTAGGACTTCCAGTACTATGTTGAATACAAGTGGTGAAAGTGGGCATCTTTGTCTTATTCCAGTTCTCACGGGGAATGCTTTCAACTTTTCCCCATTAAGTATAATGTTGGCTGTGAGTTTGTTATAGATAAGGTGATTAATTTTAAATATTTCTTTTCTAATACATGTATTCAATGCTATAAATTTCTCTCTAAGCACTGCTTTCGACACATCCCACAAACTTTGTAAGTTGTATTTTCATTTTCATTTAGTTCAAAATACTTATTTTGTTGTTGTTAAGATTTCTTCTTTCATCCACGTGTTCTTTAATAGTGTGTTCTTTAATCATAAGACAGTCAGTAGATGTCAATTATATCCAGTTAATTGACGGTGCTGTGTTTACTCTTTTTTCTGTCTGCTTGATATGTCCATTTTTGATAGAGGGGTGTTGAAGTCACCAAGTATAATAGTGGACTCATGTTTTTCTCCTTGCAGTTCTATTAGATGTTGCCTCATGTTTTTTGATGCTCCATTGTTAGGCATCTATACATTAAGGATTGTCATGTCTTTATAAGGAACTGACCCCTTATCATTATGTAATACCCATCTTTAGCCCTGGTAACTTTCTTTGCTCTAAAGTCTAGTCTGTTTAAAATTAATATAGCTGTTCCCATTTTAAAAATTAGCATCAACATAGTATATCTTTCAGTATGTGCTCTTATAGTTAATGCATGTTTCTTGTAGGCAACATACAATTGGGAAGGTTTTTTTAAATCCATTTTTACAATCTTTGCCTTTTAACTGATATATTTAGAACATTGATGTTTAAAGTAACTAATGATTTAGTTGAATTAATACCTATCATATTTGTTAGTTTTATATTTGTTTCCCTTTTTCTTTGTTCTTAGTTTGTCTTCCACTATTTTACTGCCTTTCATGGCTTTAATTGAGCATTTTGTATGATTCCATTTTCTCTCCCTTATTATTAGCATATCAGTTATGCTTCTTTTTTACATTTCTCAGTGGTTGCACTGGAGTTTCCAAGATACATTTATAACTAATTAAAATCCACGTTCAAACAACATTATACCACTTCACAGGTAGTGTGTGAGTACCTTAAAATAATAAAATAATCATAATTCTTCCCTCCTTGTCACTTTTATCATTGTTATCATTCACTAATATATAAGCATATATAAGTGCTTATATATAAGCACTCATAAAATAACATAATAGTAGCATCAATATATTTTATTACATAATCACGTGTAATAAAATGTATATATGTAATATATATGAAATTTTTATATATATTATATATAAAAGCATATGTAATGAAATACATTGTTGCTACTATTTTGAGCACACTTCTATTTGTATATCAATTAAGAATAAGAAAAATATTTTTTCTTTGTGACCCCAGGTGTCATGGATAAAAGATCTATGGATATAATTTTCAAGTCAGTGCAAGGGTATTTTTTCTAACACCGAAGTGATATTAGAGTGGACTGAATTCTCTTGGGAAGTATTTAACTCCTAATTCTGGAGCTATTCCAGTGCTTGATAAACCACTCAGTGAAGATACTCTCAAATGAGTTCTTAGTATTTTTGTGTTAAACAGAAAATTTTCCACTGTTAGGATAATTGGCAAGGATGGAAAGACTCAAAATTGCACTAATTGTATTATTCATAAAGAATAATGGAGTCACCACCAAAGAATAACACAGTGTCTGAAAGGCATCCACGGATATCACTGTCTTCATATGTTGAGTCTTCATCATCAGGTTACTGTTTTAATAGAGCTATTTACTTCCTTGAATGCACTCTCAGTTATTCACTCAGATATGTTATCATAAGTTCAGTTAAATAAAATATTTTCAGAATCATCTTGAAATTTCACTATACCTATTATTTGCAACAAATGTTATTCCAGTTTCCATTTGACTCTTTTAGTTTAATGTTCTGTGTAACAGCCATTGCTGTTAATATACGTATTTGGGGCAAAAAATACAATATCCTTTGTGATATCCCTTGGATTGTAATATCTGACCTTTGACCCCACATGTTTTAATTATGCAACTAATTATCATGTAATAAAGGAAATACAACTTCAAGATGGTAGCTTTGTATTTTATATTTAAAATCTTAGAAAGTTCTATTATTGATAAATAAAAGGATTCAAAATAATCCTGAAGTATAATGATGTTAAACATATAGTTTAGAACTAGATTAACAAAATAATACCATTTGCATAGGTAGGGTGTCTGATATGCTTCTAAATTAATTTGATTTGTATATTCTTGAAAACTGCCACAAGTTATTTGCATGTACTAAATAGATGTTGCTTTTTATTCTGAAAGAATGAGAATGAAGATAAAACATAGGTTCATATATTGGTCAACATGCAGAAAAACCAATATTGATTATTTTTACAGTTCATTACATCATTAATATATTGGGATTTCCCTTTTACTACAGACAGTAATATATTTCACTATGCATGTTTATTGAAATACGTTTTAAATAGATATGCATAACAAAGTATATATTAGTTCAAGCAGATGTTTAGGGTCATAACCGTCAAGAAATTTGAGCTGCTCAGGCGTGTGGCAAAATCAGAGTTACTAATGATTGTTTTATTGTTTCTGCATTTCAGTCATAGAGTCTGGCAGATTGCAAGTGTACTGTTATTCTGTAGGAGATATAAAATGTTCATGATGTTATCTTGGGCGAGGCCTCCAGCCTGGAAGATCAGCATAACTCTGAGTTGCTAATCTGGCCAGTTCAGTCTTTGTTTTTATAGAGAAAATCAAAGATATATCAATTGATGCCAGTTGCAAATTACAGAAATGTTGTGATTAGTATTTTTGAAAGTCTTATATTAACACCATTTGATTAGTTGAAAATTCTTCTCCTAGGCTCCAGTTACTATCTTCCCAGCTTAAATCCAGAAAACAACAGCAACGTCTTTGCCAGCTACCTCAAATTTGGAGAATTGAACACCGTAGCTCAGCTTGAGGAAAGATGATAGCATTGGAACTGATTTCACTTTCTGAGCCTTTTGTTGAGGGTATTTACTAATAATACTTCTGAACTGTAAAATCTGTGGGTTAGCATCCCCCTCTGATGCAAGAAACCTGGAGTTTACTGGCTAGCTAGCAAATGCAAAATTAGACAATTTTGCTGGTAGCTAAATTTACACGGTTAAGTGTGTTTGACTATTATATGGCTGCAGAAAGTTCCACATGCCAATTTATTTGCTTATGGTGTTTTGGAAAATGGAATACTTTAGAGAAAGAGAAAGAGAACACACCAACTTTCAACTCCATTGATTTTAATTAAGCTAACTGTAGATTGGCAAGCACTGCAAAATTCACAAACCTGATGAGACAAAAGAGATTACACAATAGGTACAGGAACTAATGGCTAGTCCTTAATTATCTGAAACTGACAAGACAATGACCTGTCAAATTAATGGAAATTATCTTCCATAAAGCCTTGGTGGAATGGCAGCATAATATTGAACTTTAGAAGAAAAAGAAGCTTGGACCAAAAAGAAGTTCCTTGCCCTTAAAAATGAGCATACCATAATAGACACAGACATGGGAAGATGCTCACGATGTATTAAGTAGAAAAAAAATAGAAAATAATATAGGCAGCCTGTTCCCATTTTGGTAAAATTGAAATACACCAAACCACTTTCACCTGTTCTGCCAACATAGGATGTGTACCTGGTCACTCCTGTTTTGTTTTATTGTGTGTATATATATATATTTTTTTTTTTCAATTAATCATTGGAAAACCCCATTTTCTCTTTTGGGAAAAAAATCTAATACTGTCTCTAGGTCCTTCTGCCAAACCCAGTGAGACAGATTCCAGATGCCAATGCCATTGCTTATCAATATCACATGGTATCACTGTCAGATGCACATCATGAAAAACTTCATGCCTGTCTGCTGCTACTGGGATACCCTTGCTGGTAGAAGCCTGTGCCAGAGTGGTGCTCATGAGATATCAAGGATATAGCCCATTTTACATCATACTCCCATGTTCCATCCTTATTCCACTAAACAATCATGGAGCTAGTAAGGCTGTGTTTGGATGAGTTATTGCAAGCTAATTTTAGTAGGCCAAATAATGCATACAGTAAACTAGAGAGTATTTGCTTGAAAATATTATGGTGCCTTGTCCTTATTTTAGACTCACCTCGTAAGTAGTAACTAAAACAATAAATGAATGAATGAACAAGTAAATGAATGAATGCAAGCTGTCTGGACCAGCTTGGTAATAAATATCCTGAAGTTCATCTTTCCATTTTTAAAAAGTCACCCAACTTATGTTTGATAAATATAAACAAACTTTTTTATGTCATCATTTTAAATGCTTTAGGAAATGCTTTCATTTCCTTTCGTTTTGTCCGATGTTCATATCTTTCATGCTTTGCTTATCTTTTGGAAGTGTCTGTCCAACTAGAGCTCTTCCAAAAAGATATTTGGCAAGGACATCTTCTGCTCCCAGGTATAAAAGTGAGTCAAACACCATTATTATTTTTATCCTTCAGGAAAAACCTTCTGTGAAAATTCTGATTGCATTTCCTTTTATAAGATTCTGTCTCATATTTATTAACTGAAAGGTTTGGGTCAAATCAGCCACATGTACTCTCTGTAGTTTATCAGCAGAAGGATTCTTTGAAAGATTAAATTGCACAGGGCTGACTTCTAAAGTGCAGTGAAAAAAATAAAAAAGCCACTTGGTAAAAATGCTAAAACTGTTATTTTCTTGGGAAATGTTGTAGAATTTTAGCAAATTAACATGTTACATTTAAACCCATTTGTACTTGAGACTGGATTGTTTATAGATGCTTGAAAGAACCATTATTTGTGTGTACAGATAAGCAAATTGAAAAACATAATTACTCATAACCGTGTTTTATGTTTTCCAGAATCTTAAAGAAGTCAAAAATATCAGTGAAATCAAACATGGAGAAATATTGCATTATTAATAGTATACTGAAAAGTAAATACGATTTTTGAATTTCTTTATAAATCATTTTTAGTTATCATAATCCTTCAAGCATCAATTCACTGTGTTTTAAAATGCACATTTATTATCTCTGTATGTGATTTTTCACATCTTTCATTTTTTTCTCTATATTTATGTTTGGGGAAGAATGTGGAATATAGAATGCAGACATGATGTCTCTGAAATACATGTCTCCTCTCCCAGAGACATAGTCACATTTTATAGTTAAATTTTGGTTTGAAAGTTCTAATTTCTCTTCCATTAACCTTTCTGATTCCAAATGCTACCAGTCTCTGTGGCCAAGAGAATGATACACCATCTTTCTCCATCCCCAACAACAGAAAGCTCGGTTTCATCTTCCATTTTCCCCAGCTTTTCCACCTCATACCACTCAGAAAGTCCTGGATTTTATTTTCTTTTGAGTTTCTTGAATAGGTTTACCCTTTCTCCCTTTCTGATTCCTGAGTCCTTTCATTAGTCTCTTTTTATTATTATTATTATTATACTTTAAGTTCTAGGGTACATGTGCACAACGTGCAGGTTTGTTACATATTTATAAATGTACCATGTTCGTGTGCTGCACCCATTAACTCGTCATTTATATTAGATATTTCTCCTAATGCTCTCCCTCCCCCCTCCTCTGACCCAACTACAGATTCCAGTGTGTGATGTTCCCCTTCCTGTGTCCAAGTGTTCTTATTGTTCAATTCCCACCTATGAGTGAGAACATGCAGTGTTTCGTTTTTTGTTCTTGCGATAGTTTGCTCAGAATGATGGTTTCCAGCTTCATCCATGTTCCTACAAAGGACATGAACTCATCCTTTTTTATGGCTGCATAGTATTCCATGGTGTATATGTGCCACATTTTCTTAATCCAGTCTATCATTGATGGACATTTGGGTTGGTTCCAAGTCTTTGCTATTGTGAATAAACATACATGTGCATGTGCCTTTATAGCAGTATGATTTATAATCCTTTGGGTATATACCCAGTAATGGGATTGCTGGGTCAAATGGTATTTCTAGTTCTAGATCCTTGAGGAATCGCCACACTGTCTTCCACAATGGTTGAACTAGTTTACAGTCCCACCAACAGTGTAAAAGTGTTCCTATTTATCCACATCCTCTCCAGCACCTCTTGTTTCCTGACTTTTTAATGATCGCCATTCTAACTGGTGTGAGATGGTATCTTATTGTGGTTTTGATTTTCATTTCTCTGATGGCCAGTGATGATGAGCATTTTTTCATATGTCTGTTGGCTGCATAAATGTCTTCTTTTGAGAAGTGTCTATTCATATCCTTCACCCACTTTTTGATGTGATTGTTTGTTTTTTTCTTGTAAATTTGTTTGAGTTCTTTGTAGATTCTGGATATTAGCCCTTTGTCAGATGAGTAGATTGCAAAAATTTTCTCCCATTCTGTAGGTTGCCTGTTTGCTCTGATGGTAGTTTCTTTTGCTGTGCAGAAGCTCTTTAGTTTAATTAGATCCTATTTGTAAATTTTGGCTTTTGTTGCCATTGCTTTTGGTGTTTTAGGCATGAAGTCCTTGCCCATTCCTATGTCCTGAATGGTATTGCCTAGGTTTTCTTCTAGGGTTTTTGTGGTTTTAGGTCTAACATGTAAGTCTTTAATCCACCTTGAATTAATTTTTGTATAAGGTGTAAGGAAGGGATTCAGTTTCAGCTTTCTACATATGGCTAGCCAGTTTTCCCAGCACCATTTATTAAATAGGGAATCCTTTCCCCATTTCTTGTTTTTGTCAGGTTTGTCAAAGATCAGATGGTTGTAGATGTGTGGTATTATTTCTGAGGGCTCTGTTCTGTTCCATTGGTCTATATCTCTGTTTTGGTACCAGTACCATGCTGTTTTGGTTACTATTGCCTTGTAGTATAGTTTGAAGTCAGGTAGCGTGATGCCTCCAGCTTTGTTCTTTTGGCTTAGGATTGACTTGACAATGTGGGCTCTTTTTTGGTTCCATATGAACTTTAAAGTAGTTTTTTCCAATTCTGTGAAGAAAGTCATTGGTAGCTTGAAGGAGATGGCATTGAACCTACAAATTACCTTGGGCAATATGGCCATTTTCATGATATTGATTCTTCCTATCCATGAGCATGGAATGTTCTTCCATTTGTTTGTGGCTTCTTTTATTTCATTGAGCAGTGGTTTGTAGTTCTCCTTGAAGAGGTCCTTCACATCCCTTGTAAGTTGGATTCCTAGGTATTTTATTCTCTTTGAAGCAATTGTGAATGTGCGTTCACTCATGCTTTGGCTCTCAGTTTGTCTGTTATTGGTGTATAAAAATACTTGTGATTTTTGCACATTGATTTTGTATCCTGAGACTTTGCTGAAGTTGCTTATCAGCTTAAGGAGATTTTGGGCTGAGACAATGCGGTTTTCTAAATATACAATAATGTCATCTGCAAACAGGGACAATTTGACTTCCTCTTTTCCTAATTGAATACCCTTTATTTCCTTCTCCTGCCTGATTGCCCTGGCCAGAACTTCCAACACTATGTAGAATAGGAGTGGTGAGAGAGGGCATCCCTGTCTTGTGCCAGTTTTCACCGGGATTGCTTCCAGTTTTTGCCCATTCAGTATGATATTGGCTGTGGGTTTGTCATAAATAGCTCTTACTATTTCGAGTTACGTCCCATTAATACCTAATTTGTTGAGAGTTTTTAGCATGAAGCGTTGTTGAATTTTGTCAAAGGCCTTTTCTGCATCTATTGAGATAATCATGTGGTTTTTGTCTTTGGTTCTATTTATATGCTGGATTATGTTTATTGATTTGCGTATGTTGAACCAGCCTTGCATCCCAGGAATGAAGCCCACTTGATCATGGTGGATAAGCTTTTTGATCTGCTGCTGGATTTAGTTTGCCAGTATTTTATTGAGGATTTTTGCATCGATGTTCATCAGGGATATTGGTCTAAAATTCTTTTTTTGTTGTGTCTCTGCCAGGCTTTGGTATCAGGATGATGCTGGCCTCATAAAATGAGTCCGGGAGGATTCCCTCTCCTTCTATTGATTGGAATAGTTTCAGAAGGAATGGTACCAGCTCCTCCTTGTACCTCTGGTAGAATTCAGCTGTGAATCCGTCTGGTCCTGGACTTTTTTTGGTTGGTAGGCTATTAATTATTGCCCCAATTTCAGAGCCTGTTATAGGTCTATCCAGGGATTCAACTTCTTCCTGGTTTAGTCTTGGGAGGGTGTACGTTTCCAATAATTTATCCATTTCTTCTAGATTTTCTAGTTTATTTGCATAGAGGTGTTTATAGTATTCTCTGATGGTGGTTTGTATTTCTGCGGGATTGGTGGTGATGTCCCCTTTATCATTTTTTATTGCGTCTATTTGAGTCTTCTCTCTTTTCTTCTTTATTAGTCTTGCTAGTGGTCTATCAATTTTGTTGATCTTTTCAAAAAACCAGCTTCTGGATTCATTGATTTTTTGAAGGGTTTTTTTGTGTCTCTATCTCCTTCTGTTCTGCTCTTAGTTATTTCTTGCCTTCTGCTAGCTTTTGAATGTGTTTACTCTTGCTTCTCTAGTTCTTTTAACTGTGATGTTAGGGTGTCAATTTTAGATCTTTCCTGCTTTCTCTTGTGGGCATTTAGTGCTATACATTTCCCTCTACACACTGCTTTAAATATGACCCAGAGATTCTAGTATGTTGTGTCTTTGTTCTCATTGGTTTCAAAGAACATCTTTATTTCTGCCTTCATTTTGTTATGTACCCAGTAGTCATTCAGGAGCAGGTTGTTCAGTTTCCATGTAGTTGAGCAGTTTTGAGTGAGTTTCTTAATCCTGAGTTCTAGTTTGATTGCACTGTGGTCTGAGAGACAGTTTGTTATAATTTCTGTTCTTTTACATTTGCTGAGGAATGTTTTACTTCCAACTATGTGGTCAATTTTGGAATAAGTGCGATGTGGTGCTGAGAAGAAGTATATTCTGTTGATTTGGGTGGAGAGTTCTGTAGATGTCTATTAGGTCTGCTTGGCTCAGAGCTGAGTTCAATTCCTGGATATCCTTGTTAACTTTCTGTCTCATTAGTCTCTTAACACTCATACCGTCTCCCTTACCCCCCCGTACTCCAAGCATAGATACTATTATCCAACTTTTAAGTATGAAAAAACTGAAGGCTGCTTAGGGCTTAAAGGTTTAAATTAAGGCTATGATTTGGGTCCAGATCTGCCTCTCTCTAAAGCATGAGCTTTTCAACATTACAATAGGCTGTCTCACTTTTCACTGATATCAGAGTAACCTTTTTTAAACCATGGTGCTGAACATATTCCATTTCCCTGCATAAGTGGATTGCAACTAGTGTAGGTTTAAGTTCAAACTTCTTACCAGGACATCAAAGTTTTTAATTACCTCTCACCTGCATTTCTGGCCTGTTATATTTTCAATCACTTTCTCAATGACTTCTTATATTGCAGGTTAATCAGGAATATATAATCAGCCTGCCTAGAACATGACTCCATGTCTTGCCTATGTTAGACTCTCAGCCTGGAAACCCTTCTACTTAAAACTTGTCTTCTTGTCTCACACCCTGAGCTAGGAAAAGTTTTCTAACTTCTAGGTAGAGCTGGTTCCTCCCTCTTCCAGGCATCTTCACACCTTGTACTAGGCAATGAACTCTTCAACAAGAGGGCCCACTTGTTTTCTACTTTTTTATTCTGCAGAATCTATTGTAGAGCCTTGCTCATACTGGGACTAAAAATACATTTAAAAAATAAAATTAAGCACACTTATTTTCCATGGGAATTTTTGAGTCATTGGTTCCCCGAATAGCCCTACTCCCCTTTTCTATTTTGAAGAAGTATGTATAGTTTTCCAAAACATTCTTGTTTGACCAATGTGATCAGTTCATTTAGTCAAAGCATTTGCACTGTTCCTAACTTTTCTACCTTAAGAAACATAGTTTTGCTCAAGCAGAGCGTTTAGTGCATGTCTCCTTTAATGGATTCCTGCTAAGAGCTAACAACTGGATTATTGAATCTTCTCCTTCAAAACCACTCTTTGACTTATTACAAGATTATTTTTCTCAGTTACATTTGATTCTTTATAGGTACCATTTTCTGCCCCTGGCCTTGTTTAAAATTGAATTGTGATGGCTCTTCCCCTGACTTATCTTTTAAAGCTATTGTCATTTACTTCATTTTTTTTTAGGCCTTTACTGGAAAATTTCTGGCTGTAACATTTTCTTATAATTTCTATTTCTATTCCAGGTTTCTGCTTAAGCCCAGTGTTGCATTAATAAGGGTCAGGCGAAGTTTCAACAGCATTTAATCTTACACTTTAAATTTTTGTTCACATTTTATGGTCTTGACACATTTACTGTAATAAAGGGAAATCATTAATTCACTAAGAAACGTGTAAAAACTATAGTTTTGCTTTTGATTAATTTCCACATTCATCATTACTTTGCTACTGATTTACCATGCATTGAAGAGACTGAGGGTGCAAAACATGATTTTTTTTTCTTTGTTTAAAAAGAACTGTCTTAGAAACCAAATGAGGCTAAAAATGTACCTGTGTTTTGGCTGTCAAAGGGGAGAAGATTACTTCTTCTTGAACGTGTTTTCTGTCTCATCCTCATGTTTCCTTTATTTATACCAAATACACCATACCATTCTCTACTTTTTTTTCTTGAAGTAAAAGAGAGCTATAGCCATAGCCACTGTCATATTAACTCTGAAAATAGGTTTTTTCCTTTATGAAGAGGAAAGAAATCTTAATTTACCTTTGGCTTATGGAAGAAAATCATCTAAAATTTTATAATGCCAGCTACATCTTGAACAATTTTGAATACTGTTGTTATGAAACAAAATCATACTTGAGCCTAGAGGTCAAATATCTCACCAATATTGGCAGCAGGCAATTGAATAACGATTTTTTGTTTTTGTTTTGCACTTGTATAATTGATACTAAAGTGGTAGTGACTATTAAAATTAATGAAAAGGAATCTATAGTTTTTACACTATAACTAGGCCAAGTTGGGAAGGTATCAAAATTATAGTTATAAAATGAGACTGAAAGTTTAAAACAGGTCACTACCTATGACGCACACAATTGCAAGCCCTTTTTCATAGATCAGTCAATGAAGTCTTCGCAACAACCCAAAGAGGGTTATTTTGGATTTTAGGGGAGGAGAAAACTGAGACTCATAAAGTTAAATAAACTCTCCTCCTTTGTTGTATTGTTTTGTTAAATATAGGTTTTTATTCTTATTTTTAACAACACAAATATTTGTAGAAAAATTTAGAGAATGCAGAATAAGCAAGAGAAAAATAAACACAATGTATTGCTATCCCCCCAGTTTTCTTAACTGTGTATTACACATTTTTGTGTAACCTGCTTTTTTGCTTTAAAATGTCATGACCTTTTCCAACCATAAGTATGTTATTTTTCATATGTCAGTTTTAATGGCTATAATATTCTCCTCAGTGTTTTTGAGGGTCTTTGAGAGCACTCAGTAAGTAGCACCTGTCTTTTCTACCCAATTCAATTGAAAAATAGACAGCAAGTGGAGAACCAGAATATCACCCTATTCCTAATTAAGGCACAATTGGCAGGCACAGCTTACAATGAGAGAAAAAATTGGCTTGCTCACTGCATCCTTTGGAAGTTTGTTGAGCTGTGAGAAGAACCCACTTCAGGGAAAGCTTAAAGCCAGGGAGCAGGAAATCCCTGCCCTGCACTGGCCCTGGCTAGAGGAAAGAAGAAAAGAAGCAACTTCTCCAAGCAGAGAAACTTTGATCATGTCTACCCAATACCTGTAACACACCAACCACTGTAAAGCTGGTGGTCCTCTGCTCTGGGGATGAGGAAGTGGTGGAAAAGGAAGCCAGGCAGACTGCGGAGGATGCCACAAAACAAAGGTGAGGAAGGAGGCATTCCCCTGTGATATATGAAGTTCCTATTACTCATTTAATCAATCCCCTATTGTTGTACACTTAGGTTGTTTCAAAACAACAATGAAATTAAATGCATTTGTAATTAATTATTGTGTACATTATAGAAATTTTCTTTAAATGAAACTATAAGTAAAATTCCTGGGACAATGATTTTAACATGTTTAAAGCTTTTGATGCATTTTACCACATTTTACTCAGGAAAGTTTTGTCAATTTACATTACCACTCAGTAATGTATAACCTCATTTATTTTTAATAAGTGTATTTGAACCCAGTAAAGTTGGCTCTGGAGCCCAAATTATTAATCTTAACAAAATCCTGCTAGTTACTAAATAAAAAAAACTGTAAAATTCATGAAATTTCTCTGACTCCATAAACTTTCAATGGATAATTTCTATATCTGTCCATACTGCCTGGGAGTGGAGAATTATAATGGTCATGAAAGTGGCCTTTGGCCTTGGACTCCTCCTGGCTTTGAATTCTGAATTTGCCCTTAACTAGAGCTGTGGCAAGTTATCATAGATGTTCAAGCAACTCTGCTCCTCACAGTGCTAATAAAGACATGCGCAAGACTGGGTGATTCATAAAGAAAGAGGTTTAATTAACTAACTGTTTGGCATGACTGGGGAGGCCTCAGGAAACTTACAATCATGGCAGAAGGGGAAGGAAGCACATCCTTATTCACATGGCAGCGGCAAGGAGAAGTGCCGAGCAAAAGGGGAAAAAGCACCACTCACTATCAGGAGAACAAGACATGGGAAACCTCCCCCCAATTCAATTATCTCCCACTGGGTTCCTCCCATGACATGTGTGGATTATGGGAAGTACAATTCAACATGAGATTTGGGTGGGGACACAGCCAACTCATACCATCATCCACCACATCAAACCCACTAAGTGAGCTACATTTTTGCTGTGTGGGATGAAAATGTCCACACAGCACAGAGAAGAATATGTGCTTCATAGAGTAATGATAGTCAGCTTAACAAAAGATGCTTCTGTGAGAGGCTGATGGTCAGCCCTGAGATCAGTAACCAGAAGCCGTGGCTTCCAGAAGGCTGCCTGGATCTGGTTAGTGAGGATTTCAGTAGTGAAGTGACCAGCAATAGGAGTAGCTCCAGTGGCAGAAGCGAACTTCAGCACAGCCCACTGGCCAGGATTCCTGGATGACCTGACATTGACATCAGCAGAGTTTTCAAGGGCAACAATGGCATAAGCTGTCAGCAGAAGCTTCTCCCAGGTCCTCTTCAGATTTAGGATGTAGATGTCATCAGTTTTCCTTTTATAGATGTACTGTTCCATTTGGAAGGGTTGGTGCCACCTAGCAGGTTCCAGCTACTAGGAACTAGAGGGCATCCTCCTCCTTCATTTGCAGGACATCAAGGACTCTCGACATTGTGAAAGTTTCCATTTAAGTTACCATGGGAACCCAGAGCAACACATGTGGACTCCTGTCTGGATAGTGCAGAAACCTAAACCTGCTTTATTATATCCACCCATATTTTCAAATTTCCAGCATTTTTATCTGACCTTTAAAGATAGTAAAGAAGTCAGAGTATTTTTAAGTATATAAAAGTAAATAATTACCTCATTAATCAGACAAGACTTTACTATAAAACCAAATACTTCTGAGTTAACAATATTGAATATTAACATGGTAAAAAGGCATCAGGATGAGTTCTTTTATGGAGAGGTCCTAAAAATATATAATATTGAAGTGTGTGTGTGACACAGGTAAGTTATATTGCACTCAGAAGTGCTGGGAATTCTTTGAGAGATTGGTTTATATTTGAGAACCTGAATGAGTCTAACATAGCTCTCATCTTCTTCTAGAAAAGAACAAATGTGAAATAAGACCCCTATTATTTCTTTAGGTCTTACTGAGATTTCTTCTTTTGCAAGAGGATGTGAGTTTTCTGTAATAACACCATACTTCGCATTGGATCACTAGGTAATTATGGACTAATCTAGGGCTGAGGGAGAGATTTTTATGACACACTTTATAATAGACTTTCAGCGTTTTTCAGAAAGAAAATCCCACTGAGGATACAAAGTTTATATTTTTCTTTGACTGTAACACATCACAATAAAGATGATACTCTGCTGATATTTGAGATTCATGTTATCTGCAGGAAAACTTAAAGTGTTTTGTTCTATGTGACAGTGACACTATGTCTAAGAATGCTAAGACAGAGAAAAATGGAGATTTAGGTAATATTTATATAGATAAGAAAGAAAGTTTAGGCTCATAGTCCAGAAAGTAAACTGCTAATTCTTGCCTAGTATGTTTTTTTTTTTAATTTTTTTAATTCCTTGAGTCTCCTCAGTTTTGCATGATTTTGACACTGTTTGCATGACAATTCTACATTATCTCTCCTTGTCTTTTGGTTTGAATTAAAAGTAATTTAGGATAATTTCAGTTTACCTAAAATTAATGAATCTAATTCTTTACCTGGTAAGAAAAATGTGTTCTTTGTCTTCCATAATCTGTCCTTCTGTAATTATTAATTTTACATGTTAAGGTCCAGATATTTGGTCAAACACTATTTTGAATTCTGCTGTGAAGGAATTTTTAAGATGATATTAACATGTAAATTAGTAGCCTTTGAGTGAAGCAGATTAACCTCCATAATCTAGGTGGGCCTCATTTCATTAGGTGAAGCCCTTAATGGTGGGGGGATGGAAAGACTGACCTCTCCTAACATCTTTCTCTCCTGAGGAAGAGGGAATCTGGCAGCAGACTGCCTTAGACTTGAGCTGCAACATTCATTCTTTCCTGGGTCTCCAGCTTGCTGGTCTATCCTGCAGATTTTGGACTTACTAGCCTCCACAATCACATAAGCCAATTTCTTAAAATAAATCTATTTCTCTCTCTCTCTGTCTCTTTCTCCATCCATTCATCCATTCATCCATCTGTCTACACATTTTTTATTGTTTATTTTTCTCTGGAAAATCTTGACAGATACACCATCTGTTTATCAATCATTCTTGAAACAGAAAATTCTACCTATGTATGCACCTTGACTGGAAAGAGTTTTTGCCAAGTCTGTACTGTACCTAGTTAAGGCATATTTAGAAACATGGCTGTGGGAAAACAAAAAACAGCAAGATTAAAACATAGAGATATATTATATATCCTAATTCTACAAGGATGTTTCTGGCTTTACTTATGTGTGTATTAAGGTTTTTCTTCTCTTCTTCCACACTATTTTCTTATAGTTGACATATGGTAATATAGTAAGAAAAAATACACATATATTTCTTCTTGCAATATATATTCATTGGGATGTTTAACAATGAGTGTCAACCTGATTGGATTGAAGGATGCAAAGTATTGATCCTGGGTGTGTCTGTAAGGGTGTTGCCAAAGAGATTAACATTTGAGTCAGTGGGCTGGGAAAGGCAGACCCACCCTCAATGTGGGTGGGCACAATCTAATCAGCTGCCAGTGTGACCAGAATATAAAGCAGGCAGAAAAACGTGAAAAGGCTAGACTGGCTTAGACTCCCATTCTACATCTGTCTCCCATGCTGAAAATCGGACTCCAAGTTCTTCAGCTTTGGGACTCGGACTGGTTTCCTTGCTCCTCAGCTTGTAGACAGCATACTGTGGGACCCTGTGATCATCTGAGTTAATACTACTTAATAAACTCCCTGAGAATATATATCCTATTCTTTCGCTCTGGAGAACCCTGACTAATACATTCATATATACATAGATTTTTAAATATATATATATATAATATATATATAATATTTATATATAAATATATATTATATATATAAATTATATATAAATATATAATATATATTATATATGGTAATATATGTGTATATTGCAATATATACATGTATACATATGTGTGTACGTTGTATATATGTATATTGCAATATGTATATTGCAATACATACATATATACATATGTGCGTACATTGCAATTTTTATATACATATGTATGTATAATGCAATTTATATATTGTATATATACATATGTACATATTATGCATGTATATATACATATACGTTATATGTGTATGTATTGTATACATACATATACGTTATATGTGTATGTATTGTATACATACATATATGTTATATGTGTATGTATTGTATACATACATATATGTTATATGTGTATGTATTGTATACATACATATATGTTACATGTGATGTATTGCATACATATGTTATATGTGATGTATTGTATACATATGTTATATGTGATGTATTGTATACATACATATGTTATATGTGTATGTATTGTATACATAGATATATGTGTATGTATTGTATACATACATGTTATATGTGTGTGCATTGTATACATATATGTTATATGTGTGTGTATTGTATACATATGTTATGTATGTGTATTGTATACATACATATATGTGTGTGTATTGTATACATACATATATGTTATATGTGTGTGTATTGTATACATACACATACAGGCATGTATTGCAATCAGATGAAAGCACACACTGTTTCAGTCTGATAAAGGCAAATGCTAGCGAGAAATTAATTTCACTGTTAAATTTCCAATTATTTTCTAGATCCTGTAGCTCAGGAGCAGCAAAGGATTACAAAGAAACAAAATGCTATGTGGGGGAGAGAGTATGAGGATATAAGAGAGCTAGCCTCACAAAAGATGTTTTCTCCTGGCCCATGAGAATAGCAACTGAGAAATATCTTAGAAATATCTGAGAGCCTGGAGGTCATCCCTCACAGCACATGAGAAGAGGAAGGGGATGCAGGTTTGCTGTTTTAACATTTGTGGGGCAAATTAGATGTACAAGACTCATTCTTTTATTATGATGATGATTATTATTATTATTGTTCTTTAAGTTCTAGGGTACATGTGCACAACGTGCAGGTTTGTTACATACGTATACATGTGCCATGTTGGTGTGCTGCACCCATTAACTCGTCACTTACATTAGGTATACCTCCTAATGCTATCCCTCCCCCCTCACCCCACCCCATGACAGGCCCTGGTGTGTGATGTTCCCCTTCCTGTGTCCATGTGTTCTCATTGTTCAATTCCCACCTGTGAGTGAGAACATGCAGTGATTTTTTTTTGCCCTTGTGATAGTTTGCTGAGAATGATGGTTTCCAGCTTCATACATGTCCCTACAAAGGACATGAACTCATCCTTTTTTATGGCTGCAAGCGAGGACTGAGTCAGAGAGATGGGGATGGCAGAGGAGACAAAATGTGGTCAGGGCCGTGTAAGATGTGACCCTGCTGCCATATCTGAAAGAAAGGCTGTTGGTGTTTGTAAAGACTTTGGGCAAATTGTGCTTTGTAGACAAAACTGTAGAAGGGTCTGGGTTTAAGCTTAGTGTCAGCGTGATGAGGACTAGAGGTCGCAGTGACCTTTGTTAAGAAATCCACCCTGCACTTCTGGCTTTGTCTCTTTCCTGGTTTTATAGGTGGTGGGTTCCTCTATGGAATGAACGTGGCTCTGTGGAAGGAACATAGTTAAGGTCAGACAGACCTAGATTCCAAGTTCAGCTTCAACAACTGCTGACCAAGTGACTTTTATGCAAATCAGCCATGTGCTGTCATGAACAGTTTCCTCATGTGTGAAATGGGTCACTGAGGATGTGAAGGGGTGTCCTGAGGGTTCCGCCAACTGATGCACCATGAAGCGTACATACATGTATAGACAGACACACACACATACATGAGAAGAGTATCTAGTGCCCCTTTTATGCATTCTTGAGTAACTCAGAATGTTATGTGAGATATTGACAGTCATATGTCATTTTCAACTAAAATTATCAATATTTATCTTATAACTAACAGATGCTTCTCTGTACACTGTAGGTTTCATGTACATTTCTTCAATCACAAAATTTTTCACCAATCTATTTACGTCTAGTATCAGAAAGTTAAGCAAGGAGATTGCAAACCAACACAACACCTTTAGTCTGGATTTTCCCGGAGCCCCATTTGTGTTAGTGTCCTCGGGCTACTGTAACAAGTTCTCAAAAATGTGGTAGCTTCAAACAACAGGAATGGAATCTCTCATAGTTCAGAAGTCCAGATCAGTTTCACTGGGCTAAGATCTTGGAGTCATCAGTTCTGGCTCCTTCTGAAGCTGTAGGGGGCAGTCTGATTTAGCTCTTCCAGCTTCTGGTGGCTTCTCTCTCCCGGGATGTGGACACGTGACTGCAATCTCTGTCTCTGTGTTCACATTGCCTTCTCCACTTCAGTCTATGCTAAATGTCTCTCTACCTCTTGGTTTTTTTAGGACACTTGAGTTTGCATTTAAGTCCCAGTTGATTAATCTAAGAATATCTCCCTGTTTCAAGCTCCTTAATTTACACCTGCAAAAGCTGTTTTCCCAAATGAGATACATGTATAGTCTTCCTGGAATGAAACCTCACTATTTGGGGATGATACTCAGTACTACACCATTACATAACCAGGTCTCAGTGTTAGTCCTGTACATACATCACAATCTCTCTCTCTCTCTCTCTCTCTCTCCATACACCCTGGCTTCCTCCTTTTCTCAATGTCATAAATCTCTTCAATTCCTTAAGTGTATCCAGTGATACCTATAAACAAATAAGTATCTGAGAAAAGTCTCAATCAGTTTAGAAATTTATTTGGTCAAAGTTAAAGAAATATCAGTGAAACAGCCTCAGGAGGTCTTGAGAACGTGTGTCAAAGGTCGTCGGGCTACAGGTTGGTTTTACACGTTTTCGGGAGACATAAGATATTAATCAATACGTGTAAGCTGTACATTGCTTTGATATGGAAAGACAGGACAGCCCGAAGGAGGGGGGATGTTGGGGACTTCCAGGTCATAGGTGGATTCAGAGATTTCATAGGTGGTTGAAAGCGTTTATCTAATGACCTGTAATCAACACAAGGGAGTTTCTGGGTTTAGAAAAAGGGTTTTGGAGCCAAGGTTGCATCATGCAGATGAAGCCTCCAGGTAGCAGGCTTCAGAGAGAATAGATTGTAATTGTTTCTTATTAGACTTAAAAGGTGCCAAACTCTTAGTTAAATCTCTCTGGGTCAGGAAAGAGATTTAAAAAGGAATCTCTACAGAATGTAGATTTTTCCCACAAGAACCAGCTTTGCAGAGGCATTTTTAAATACATTAAATAACAATAGCTTGGGGAAAATACTTTGATTTCTCTTAGGACGTGGTATCTGTCACATTGGTATCTTATTGCTATAAAGAGTTTTCTTTGTCAGTCTCAAGGTTTCTGTCTTCATATTAAAAGCTGGTCAGTTGTGCCTGAATTTTAAAGGGAAGAGGGTAAGTTAAGGCATATCCAATCATCCGTTCCGATCATGGACTGCATTGTATTTCAGGTTGATTTTGGTGTGTCCTTGGTTGAGAGGAGGAGTTCATTCAGTTGGTTAGGGAGCTTAGAGTTTCATTTTTGGTTTACACACCTATGTCCAGGTAAGAGGGCCCCACACAGGAGGGCTTGCTCAGAACCTGGCTTGCAGGGCTGCTTACAGACCTTCTATGTCTCCTGTTGTCATGCACAAGGAAGGACACAGCCAATGACAACCCTCAGCCATCCAGGGAGAAGCTGTGTCTGCAGAGGACGGTCATGAGCTGTGAGTCTAGAGACCTGTGATTGTCTTCAGGGGCCTGTGGTCCTCGGCTTTCATAGGAGTTGTGGGGGCACTGGCTCAAATAGCATCCACCAGGATTCTAATCAGAATATCTCATTCACAGAAGGCAGTGGGTGATATGACAGTACAGAGGGACTCTGTGGGGCCAGCTGCATGGAGCACTCTGGGAGAGTCACTGGCACCCGTGCTAGACAGATCTTCATTCAACTTCTGGAGCACACGGATTTAGATCTCTCTACATCATTTTGAAAGACCATTTATCATTCTGAAGGAAACCACTGTAATTAACTAAGGTAACATCTTTAATAGGTAGAAAGAAAAAACTGATTATTTTATTGCCAAGATGATTACAAGAAAAGAAACAAACAAAAATAGCATGAAGGAAAGAGCAACACTAGACTGAGGGCTTTGGGTAAGAGGTTGAGACTTAGTAGTGAATGCCCTGGGCCATCTTCTGTCAAAAGGGAGGGACAATCAGCAAAGGGAAATATGCAGTAGAGGCAAAATCTTGGTTAGTAAAAGAATCCTAAGAGAAAACAAGAAGTCTCCTTCCTGAGCATCATGTTGGTGTCGGGAAGATGCACATAATCCCCTCATTGCATGTCTTACACTTTTCAGCAATTAGGGCTCAGCATGAATTTAGAAGACACCATTCACTTCACAGCACATGGGGACACAGTCAAGGCAGCGGTGAGAGGCAAGGCTGGGCTTTCAGTCTCAGCGCACAGAGCAGGTTCCCCACTACTCCGCACCCTGGTGTCTCCTCCCAGATGTTCCACCTCATTCTTGCCTTAAGGGCTCCAAGTTGTTAATGGGACAGTAGCCCTCTTCCTTTCCCAGGGTTTCTAAGAATTTGGCTCTTTTTTGTGTATTGTGGGGTTTGTTTGCCATCTAGAGGCAGGTTTTTGGCATAGCAACTTACAGGCTTTTTCTACTTGTGATAGTGAAAATAAATACATAAATAAATTCATCATAAATAATAAATTGACTTAATGCATTGAATCTGTAAAAAAAAAATAAGGTCAGTTTGAGAGCTTAAAAGGAGCCTGATGAGGTTGAAAAGACAAATTACCTTTAGTAAAGAGCAGTTGGAGCAACAGATGATTCTTTAATCAAGGACATTTTAAGAGTAATCATCAAATGGTAAATAAAACATGAAATAAGATGATAAAATATAATCTTATATGCAAAAAAAATTTCCAAGAACCAGAGAAATACATTTTCAGATTAAAACAAACAAAAAATGTGGGTTTATCATCAGATCCGCTAAATGGAAGATTTCTCAAATGTGTGCTTGGAGCAAAAATAACACTTATCCCTATTTGAAAGTTCAAGATTTTTGAGCTTTAGAAGAAAACAGCTTTCCCTTCACTCCGTTCCACTCAACGCTTCTGAGGATGGCCATGGGGCAAAAAGCCGAGGCGGCAGGGGGCAAAAAGCCATGGCGGCAGGGGGGCAATAAGCCGCGACGGGCAAAATGCGGCGTCGGCGGGGGGGCAAAAAGCCGTGGCAGGGAGGGGCAAAAAGCCGTGGTGGGCAAAAAGCCGCGGCAGCTGGGGGCGAAAAGCGGCGGCGGGTAAAAAGCCGCGGCGGCGGGGGGGGCAAAAAGCCGCGGCGGGCAAGAAGCCGCGGCGGCAAAAAGCCACGGCGCGGGGACGAAAAAGCCGCGGCGGGCAAGAATCCGCGGAGGCAAAAAGCCTCGGCGCGGAAAAGACCGCGGCGGCGGGGGTGCAAAAAGTCGCGCCTGGCAAAAAGCCGCGGCGGCGGGGGGAAAAAGCCGCGGCGGGCATAAACCCGAGGAGGCGGGGCGGCAAAAAACCGCGGTGGGGAAAAAGCCGAGGCGGCGGGGGGGCAAGAAGCAGAGGCGCGCGAAAAGACGCGGTGGGGGGGGGACAAAAAGCTGCGGCGGCGGGTGGGCAAAAGCCGAGGCACGCAAAAAGCCGCGGCGGCGGGGGGGCAAAAAGCCGCGGCGGGCAAAATGCCGCGGCGGCGGGGGAGCAAAGCCAGGGCGTCAAAAAGCCACGGCGGCGGGCGGCAAAAAGCCGCGGTGGTGGGGGGGCAAAAATCCGCGGCGACAAAAAGCTGCGGCGGCGAGGGTGAAAAAGCCGCGGCGGGCAAAAAGCCGCGGCGGGAAAAAGCCGCGGCGGCGGGGATGAAAAAGCCTCGGCGGCGGCGGGGCAAAAAGCCGGGTCGGGCAAAAAGCCGCGGCGGGCAAAAACCCGAGGCGGCGGGGGTGCAAAAAACCGCGGTGGGGAAAAAGCCGCGGCGGCGGAGGGCAAAAAGCTGCGGCGGCGGGGAGCGAAAACCCGCGGCGGGCATAAACCCGCGGCGGCGGGGGGCAAAAAGCCGCGGGGGGCAAAAAGCCACGGCGGGCAAAAAAGGGCGGCACCGGGGGGTGCAAAAACCCGCGGCGGGCAAATAACCGCGACACCGGAGCGGGGGGGAGCAAAAAGCCGCAGCGGGCAAAATAACAGCGACACCGGAGCGGGGGGGAGCAAAAAGCCGCGTCGGCGGGGGTGAAAAAGCCTCGGCGGTGGGGGGGCAAAAAGCCGGGTCAGGCAAAAAGCCACGGCGGCAGGGAACAAAAAGCCGCGGCGGCGGGGTGTAAAAAGCCATGGCGGGGCAAAAAGCCGCGGCGGGCAAAAAGTCGCGGCGGCGGCGGGGGGGCAAAAATCCGCGGCGACGCGGGGCAAAATAGTGGATCTGGTGTAGAAGGCCGGCACAGCTTGGCTTTGCTGGAGTGTGATGAGATAGGAAATGTGCAGCCAAAGACAAAAAAAGATGTAAGTAGGCTTGACTCATTGCAGCTAAGAACCCAGATGTTATCTTGAGGGTTTTAACTAATAAGCAGTTTAAATCAGAATGGCACATTCTGATTTTTTTTTATATGTTCACATTTGGCAGGCATAGATACTGTTTGAAAAGAGAAAAGTCAGTAGATAGAGGTAACAAACTTAAATATGTGCCGAGTCTAGAAACAAGAGACTAGGGAGATAAGGACCTTTGGAAATAAAATGCAAGATTTGAAAACTGGCTGGGGGATGAGGAAAAGGCAGGTCTTTAAGGTCAATCCCTGTTTTGCTTTAAGTTGTTAGGGGGTGGTTTTATCACATATTGTAGAATACATCATTTCAGTTTTGAGCATCTTGAGTTAAATTGTCCTAACATATCTCATGAATTTGATTTTCTTCCCTGGGAAGCTAATATTTCAAAAACTTAAAGAGTATATAGATTTCCAACTGGTATCCAATTTATAAAACTATCTCTAGGCTGCTGATTTCAGGAGGAGGCTCATGAATATTCTATTTGCAGAGAATATATCAGGAGTTAACATCAGCGTCAATATTTGTGGACGACCAGTTAACTAAACCACCTCTTAGTGTATTTAGATGGGAAATCTTAGCTGAAGATATTCAATAATGAACCAACAGTCACTAAAAAATTCAATATTGAAGTATATTTCATTGTAATTAATTTGAATTGAAGTAGCCATATACAGCTAGTATTTACTACATTGAACAATGCAAATAAGAGGAAAAAAGAACCATCTCTAATACCACATGCCAAAATCCTCATCAATTTATTCTAGCTAAAGGAGTTGATCAGAAGCAGCAGTTGAAAGCACCAACTAAACCAGCTGGGGTTAGTTCACTGTCATTCTCTCAGAACCATCTCTTCTCTGAACAAAACAAGTACAAGAGTTCATTGTGAATCTGTATTCTCCTTGCCTATTTTAAGGTTTTGATGTTGACACTAATTTGTGAAATCCCTCCTGTGGTGTGATATTTCGTTTTCCTTGCTTTCTGTTAGGACAAGAATGCTTCAGCTCTTAATTTAAAATTATGTTTCTCCCTCCTAGGCTGAGTGAACTTAGAATGCATTCTCTGACATATCCAAGTTTTTCTTAATGTGAATTTGGGGAAAAAAGCATAGTTAATTAGCTGAGACTTCTTATTCTAGGCTTGACCCTGTGTTCGACATCTATTGAATTTGTAGTTGCATGGGCTGCTCTCTGACACTGGTTAGTGACCTGGAAGCTATATTAACGTTAGGGGAGGTGGTGTATGAACATTAGAGGTATCCTTGCAAGGAAAGACTTGTCTTATCTCAATACGTCTTTTTTTTTTGCACACAAGAAAGTCAATGTTTGAGTCTTCTAAAATCTTCCTATTTCCAAGTTGCAGAGTACCATTGATTCCTAAACAAAGACCTAATTTTTGAGTCAGAGACGTGGCAAGGTAGTGAATCACCACTATAATTTAACAATCTTCAAGATAAAATTATCTGTCTGATATTTCGATTTTGCCCAATTATTAAGATATTTGGGTGTTTCGTTAAGAATGGAAGATTCTAGTCTCTTGAGCAGAGACTATAAAGGCCTCAGATGATCATTTTTAATTTTATGCTCTTTTCTTTAACACCTTCAACACAGTTGGAAGCAGCTGATATTCCCCAGAGTTGTTGTGTTTTTTAAACCAAATGCATGGTTCAGTGGTAGAAAACTTGGCTGATCCAAGCTGTTTTCAGTAAACACTTCATTTCAGGTGACCTATTTCATATTAAATAATCTCTAGATCCTGTCTTCCAAACTAACTAGATCAGATAACCTACCCTGGATTTTCTCCTTTTAGGGTCTGTGAGCTGCAGTCACTTTTGTGAAAATGATTGCAATGACAAGATAGAGTTGTAGATGGGGAAAATGTTTTGACTAATTTAAGCATAGTGGTATTTCATATGAGAATTTAAGTTACACACATTTGAAAATTATAATGGAGTCTCTTGGCTGAGCTTTAAAAAAAATAGCGTTTAGGCTAAACAGGGAACTGCTACCTCTCCTAAAATCAGAAAGATGTTACAGTAATTCTCCATTCTCTAGAATTATCAGGAAGCACCTTTGTGATGATTTACTTTTGCTCTTGGGAGTGTGAGCCCGTGTAGTCTTGGAACCATCAATTAGAATGATGGCTTTCTGATCCCAAAGTCATTCTTTCTGAAAACAATATTTTTCATAAATTTGAAAGTGAGAAGTTTTGATCTTGCCATTCCCAAGTAACTCACTTAATAAGAGTCATCAGCATGCTTCAGTGACAGCTGTCACCTTCCAGTGCTGAGAGTCATCTTTGAGTTCTCCATTTCACTCCCTACACTTCAATTTAGCTGCAGTTCTCTTGGCCAGTCCTCTGAAATACATCCATGGCCTAACAACTTCTAACCACTAATACCACTCATCCTGACAGCATTCTCACCTAAGTCACTACCTTTTTTCTCTGGATTACAATAGCCTCCCAATTTATTTGCTCACATAACCTATTTATTCTACACGGTGCACCAGATACACCTCATTGAAATGCAAACACAATCATGTTATTCTCTGGTGAAAGTATCTCATATATTCCTATCGCATTTAAAATTAATTCAGAATAATCCCATGATTATCAAAACCCTACATGCTCTTCCACAACATGGTTTACTTCCAAGATATCTCTTCAACTCTTTTTTCACTGTACTGAATTGGTGACTAATAGTCATATTTTTGTTTTTGCTCAAAAAGTCTTGACTTCTAAATTTTTCAGTTTCTCCTTTATCCACAGGTAACTCTTTCCTCATAAGGCAAATTGCTTGCTTCCTTGAGATCTGCTCTCAAAGATACCCTTCATTTTCTACCTAATATTAATAACTTTAATCATTCATTATTCCATTACTATGCTCTATAGTGTATACAATTTCTGTTCTTTGTCATGTTATTAACTAAATTATTTATTTGTTCCAGTAACGTATTCCATAAATATTATACACATAAAAATTGTTATTTTTATTGCTGTATGCTCAGCTGCCCAATAACAGTCTGAGGATTAACATATTTGTTAAATGCACAAATACGTTCTTTCATAAATATTAGTTTAATAATTTTATATTAAACTCCCTCTATATTTACAATATGAATTAGATAATTCAGAATAAACATTCCAGTGGAAAAAACTAAACAATTTGTTATAAAACATCCTTAAAAGCATCAGAAAGTTAATACAGCAATGAAGAATTACAGGACCAAATTAAGAATGGTATGGGAGCCTGTTTGTGAGGCTTATGTTTGGGTAATCTCTTTACTTAGAGTGACTGTAAATCTCAAAAGAGGATTAAACGGAGAAATAACCATATCAACTCACATGGTAAGGGTATTTAAACATCTCTTAGTAATGGAGAAAATTGAACGAAAAGAAAAAAGAGAAAGGGAGAAAGATAAACAGAGCGAAAGGGATAATGAAGGAGAGAAAGAAGAAGAGAAAGGAAGAGGAAGAAAAGTAAAGAGGAGGAGGGAGAGGGAGGAAGAAAGGTGGAAAGAAAGAATGCTAAAGTTTTCAACAACATAATTTATCCTTCTAGAGTATGAATGTTGGTCTATTTGATGATGTCCCACAGATTCCTTAGTCTCTGCTCATTTTTTATCTGTTTCTCAGAGTCAATATTTTCCATTTTCTCATCTTCAAGCTCATGACTTCTTCTGTGTGTGCAAATATACTCTGAAATCCCTCTGGTGATTTTGAAATTTTTATCGTTGTAGTTTTCCACTCCAGAATTTCTGCTATCTCTGTTGATATTCCTACATTTTAATATTTTTTCTGAATCCTTTATTTCTTTGTTTATGTTTTCCTTGTGACATTTGAGTATAATTAAGAGAGTTGTTTTAAAGTCTTTGTCTAGTAATTTTGAAGTCTGGGTTTCCTTAGAGATATTCTCTGTCAGTTTGTTTTGTTCCTTTGAATGAGCCACACTTTCCCATTCTTTGTATGCCTTGGAACTTTTTTTGAAAACTGGGCATTATAATAATTATAATTACTATGTGGTTACTCTGTAAATCAGAACCCCCCCCCCCCCAAACACAGTAATGTTTTGGGGTTTTAAATTTTCTTTACTTATTATATTGTTAAGGATTTTTTTTTTACTGAAATTTCCAAAGTGATTTACAAAACTGTTTGCTTTATAAGGTGTGGTCACCGAAGTCTTTTTGTTTCCTTGACAAATGTTAAGCTAATGTTTTGACAGTGATTTTCTTGTATGTCAGGAACTAAGCAAACCGGCAAATACAACAAACACAAAAAGAAAAACAAGTAATCATTATCCAGCAAAATATGTCTCTAGGCCATGCAGACTGGCTTCGTGCTGGGTTCTTTAAAGCCGAAACAAAGTGTGTGTTCACTCTTGCACTGAGTGAAGTTCAAGTTCACTCTTGCACAGAGCTTGCACTGAGGAGAGGGATCGGCCAAGGTAAAAGTGTAGGGTCTTCTTATGACATTTGTCAGCATGTGACTTAACCTATGCATACATGTGACTTTCTAGACTCTCTCGTGTACGTGAATGATTTTGAATGTCTTAGTTTTCCAAATACTCTTCTCCAACTTTTCTTCCTGTGCTGAAGGTGATCTACTATATGTGTAAGCTCTAATTTTTGCCCTAAGCATCTGTGGTTTGTTAGGTCTCCTTGCAGAGTTTCTTGATAATGTCCATTCCTTATCTGTTCTGTATTCTAGCAACACAGAAAAAACAAAAGCCTTTCATGAGTCCTTTAGGTATCCCCCAGACCAGTCAGAACAGACACATAGTAATTTGCGGGTAAGATCTTCTCTTGTTCCTTTGGATCATGGACCAGGGTTCCTCACTGGGAACGTGGGCTTCTGACACTTCAAAACTGCCAATTTGCTGCTGCAAAGGCAAGTTAAAAATGTCATAAAGTTTTCAAGTTGTCTTTTTCTTGAGTCTGCTTTCACTTGGTTGTTGTAATCTTTTGACCATTTTCCAGAGTTTTGGCAAAGTTTATTCGGACAGTTTCTCTTAGTTGTGTGATGTTTCTGTGGGGAAATGAAAGATTGCAGCTGTCTCCACTGCCGTTTTGCTGATGCTCCTCTTTTGTCAATTTTTTCTTCATGTTATTATGCTTTGTTATTAGTTCATGTATTAGTTTTCTAGGGCTCCCATAACCAACTAACACAAACTGGGTGCCTTGAACAACATACGTTTATAGTCTTATAGTCCTGGAAGCTAAAAGTCTGAGATTGAGGTGTCAGCAGGGATGGTCCCTTCAAGGGCTATGAGAGAAAGTCTGTTCTGTGCCTTGTTTCTTGCTTCTGGTGGTTTAGTGGCAGTCTTTAGCATTCCTTGGCTAATCTCTGCCCTCATAATCACATGGTACTCTCCCTGTGTGTATGTCTCCCTCTACTCATTTTTTTTTTTATAAAGACATCAGTCATATTGAATTCAGGCTCATCTGATTTTATCTTAACTTAATCACCTGCAAAGAACCTATTTTCTAATGAGGTCATTTTCAGTGGTTAGGATTTCAGCATCTATATAGAGGAAACAATTTAGCTGATATCTGTGCATACATGACTGTAATAGCTATGTCTTCCAAAAGCCTTGACCTCCTTATTACTACAATATAAATATTTAAAATCCTATTCACATTTTTAATAGTCTATCTCGTGTGTTATGAGTATAATGAGTTCAGTGTTCTTATTATTGCTCTTTGCATGATATTTTTTGTCATCTTTTTACTTTCAATCCATTAGTATCCTTGCATCTCTGGGTATATTGGGATCACTGGTTTTAATCCAGTCTGACAATCTCTGCCTCTTGAAGGGATTTTAATCTGTTCACATTTAATATTATAATTGGTATAATTCTATTTATGTCTGCCATTTTACCGTTTGTTGTGTATATTTCTCAAATGTTTTTCTTTCTTTATTTTGCAATGAATGAATATTTTCTAAAATAGGGAACTCTAGATTACTAATGAATTATTTTACTATATATTTTTGAGAATTTTTGTGGTTGTTGTAAGTTTACCATATAGGTATATGGAAAATTAGTTATTCAAATCATCTTCCAATTTATACCAGTAAACTTTTAGTAATACATAGAAACATCATTCTTATACAAATCTCTTTTATTTCCTCCATTTTAAAGTATTATCACTTTACACGTTACATCTATTAACGTTACAAAGCCAACAATATATTTTAGTAATTAGTGCTTTACCATCTAGAGTGATTACCTTATCACAATACATTTTTCTTCCAACTACCTCCTTTTTGATGTTACTGGAAAATATGTTATAGACGTATTACATTTCCATATGTCAAATACTCAGCAATACATTATGCACATGTTATTATTATCATTGAGATGGAGCCTCCCTCTGCCACCCAGGCTGGAGTGCAGTGGCACAATCTCCGCTCACTGCAAGCTCCATCTCCCGGCTTCATGCCATTCTTCAGCTTCAGCCTCCCGAGTAGCTGGGACTACAAGCGCCCGCCATCACGCCCAGCTAATTTTTTGTATTTTTAGTACAGACAGGGTTTCACTGTGTTAGCCAGGATGGTCTCGATCTCCTGGCCTCGTAATATGCCCGCCTCGGCCTCCCGAAATGCTGAGATTACAGGCATGAGCCATCGTGCCTGGCCGTTATATGCATATTATTTTATAAACAATTTATGATAAAGAGAAAACATGCATTTCTACTGTTTTTATAATGTTAATATTACCTATACCAGTGCTTTTTTAAAAATGTGGATTCAAATGACTGGCTTATGTAACTTGCTTTTAGCCTTAGGAATTTATTTTAGAGTTTTTTTTTATATGGTAGGTCTGCCAGCAACAACTTCAGTTAATATTTCTGTTTATCTGGGTAAGTCTTTGTGTTATCTTCATTTTTGAAAAATAATTGCTGGATAAGGAATTCGTGGCTGACAGTTTTTTTTTCCTTTGCATCGTTTGAATATATTTTTCTACTGCCTCTTGTCTTCCATTGTTTCTCTTAAGTCAGCTGTTAATCTTACAAAACATAGGTGCTCAAAAAATAAACATGTGCATGCATATTTACAACATTAATATTCATACAGTCAAAAAGTGGAAACAATCCATATGCTTGTTGAGTCATAAATGGACACCCAATTTTCAGCTATAAAAAAGAATGAAGTACTTATATATGGTATAATATGGGTGAAATTTGAAAGCATTATGATAAGTGCACAAAAGGACAAATATTACTTGATTTTATTCACATGAAACATCAGGAATTGGCAAATCAATTGGGATATAAATCAGGTTAGTGGTCATTAGGGCTCAGGGAAGCAGAATAAGGTGTAACAACTTTATACCTAATGGGTTTTTGGAAGGGACATGATGAAATTGCCCTGGAACATTGTGAATATACTAAAAACAAGTGCATTGTATGCTTTAAAATGGTTAAGTTATTAATTTTATATTTTGTGATTTTTACCTTGAAAAACAAAAAAGAGAAAATAGCCTTACTCTCTACATAATAAACTTAAGATATCTTACAAATTTATATATGAAATCCAAAATACTATAATATTTATGGAATAGCTAAGTAGAATAACACTGAAATTTAACATAATGAAATATTTCCTTAAAAAAGAAAAAAGCACAGTAATTAAAAAGGGAAATATATTTAATATTTTTTCTCTCCATTAAGCATGCCATTAACTGAGTAAAAAATCAAACTGCAATTATGTAAACTACATTTTCTAAAACCACAAAGAAAATAAGAAATGAAAAGGGATTTGGGAAAAAAATCCAAAGGTACAGTCAACTACACAAAAAAAGCTTAGTCTCATTAATCATTATGAAAATGCAAATGGTAACTGAAAGAAGATAAAACTACAATTCAAAGAGAAAGCCTAAAATTTCAACCCTCAAAAAACTCTGGGTTTTGGTGATCTGGGATGGAATAGGGTTCCTAACCTGACAACAATGTAAGAACGAAACTAACTTCAAAGTCATGACTTTATTTTTATAGCAACCAGGTTGCCAAGAACTGAGTCAAAATATGAGGGAAAGCAAGCAACTTCAAGGAGAAAGAGGACAGATGCACTTACATAGGACAGATGCAAATACCACTATGACAAGTAAAGCTGGAATAATCAATAAATTCCTAAAGACAAAGTGGGGCTTGTGAGATTGGGAGACAGCTGACAGCTGCAGAAGTTTGGAAAGATCCATCATCTTGAAAACTTTTTCCCCACAAACCCACTGCGATCTCTCAAGCAATTGGTAAGGAATCCAAGAAAGTCTGTATATGACACAGATCAGGGAGAGCAGAACACTTGGGAGATGACCAGGTCTTGGGGGCCGAGCCCTTATGAATGGGATTAGTGCCTTTATAAAATAAGCTCAATGGAGTTCTTGTGTGTCTTCCACTATGTGAGGACATAGAAAGAAGGCACCATCTATGAACCATGAAATGGGCTCTCATCAACACTGAATTTGTGAGCATCTTGACCTGAGATCTTACAGCCTCAAGAAGTGTGAAAAAAGAAATATCTGTTGTTTTTTAGTCACCCGGTTTATGTTATTTTGTTATAAGAGTCCAAATAGACCAAGATATTCCACTTAATATGTAGGGGAAGGCAACAAAAACTGCCACACTTAGAATACTCCCGATGCTGGGAGTATGAAAACAGGAAAAACAAAACAAAACTGCTCTTGAAGTGAAGGAGGAATATCACTGAGTTCACCAACACAGCCAGGAAAAGAACAGAAGTGTGAGAAGGCTACATTCCTGAGACCTTGAGAAAAAGTACCTGCATAAGACTGAGATGAAATTACCTACTCTAGTTATGATTGAAATCCCAAAAAGAAAAGAGGAAAAAATAATAGAGCCAAAGAAATATTTTTCAAAACAACTGCCAAAAATATTCTAAAAGAAGTGACAGAAAATCAAACTTCAGATATAGGAAACTCAGAGAATGTCAAATAGAACAAAAATAAATAAGAATTACATCTTGAAAACTCTTTAAAAATCAAGTCTAAATTTTATACCGTGCTCCAAATATATAGAGATATAAATAGGTTATCATCAAGGTATGGAGAATGCCATATCATGGAAACACTAAAATAAAGCTGTGGATGGACTACGTTGATATTAGACACAACAGAGTTCAGAACAAGAAATAGTATCAGAGATGAGAGATAATAGATAATATAATCATCAATTCTCAAGAAGATGTAAACATCCTACTAATTAGGGTACGCAGCTAACAACAGAACCTCCAAATACATGAGGAAAAACATGAAAGAAATCAAAGGTGAACTAGAAAAATCCAAAATTATATTTGCAGACTTCAACACTTTTGTCTTAGTAATGGAAAGACTAGGCACAAACTCAATAAACATGTGGAAGATAAGAACAACAATATCACCAACAAGACATCCAATCTGCAATGGCAGATACTCTTTCCTTTCAAGTGAAAAAAAAAAACAGTTTGGCATATTCTCTAACAAACCCAGAATTTCTAATATTTGCGGTCTTCCTTCCTTCTTTCCATCTTCCTTTCTCTTCTCTTCCCTTCCCTTGCCTTCTTCCTTCCTTTCTTCTTTTCCTCTTCCTTTTCTTTTCTTTTTTCTTTTCCTTTCTTTCTTTTCTTTCTTTTTTTTCCTTCCTTCCTTCTTTCCTTCTTTCTTTCTTTCCCTTATTCTTCCTTCCCTCGTCCCTCCCTTCCTTTCTCCCTCCCTTTTCTTCCTTCTTTTCTAGTATTATTTCTTTCTTTCTCACGTTCTTGCTTTCTTTCCTTTTTTCTCCCTTCCTCCCGCCCTCCTTTTCTTCCTTCCTCCCTCCCTTCCTTTCCTCTTTTTCCTTCATTCCCCTCTTTATTTTCTTTGTTTCTTTGCCTTCCTCCCTTTTACGATTCTCTCTTCCTCCTTTCCTTCCTCCCTTCCTCCTTTCTTTCTCTTTCCCTCTTTCTTTCTCTTTCTTTCATTCTTTCTTTCTTTCTTGTGTTCATGCTTTGTTTTTTCTCCCTTCCTGCCTTTCTCCCTTCCTCCCTCCCTCCCTCCTTTCCTTCCTTCTCTCATTTCCTCCTTCTTTTCTTTCGTCTTTATTTCCTTCCTTCCTTCCTTATTTCCTTCCTTCTTTTTCTTTGTTTTCTTTTCTTTCTTTCTCTTTATTACAATTCATATTATTCTAAAAAAATTAAGAGAGGGAGGCAGAAAAATAAAGAACGTTTTAATCTGCAGGTAAATAGATTATGTCTGCTGTAGGCAAAAGAATGGCCTCCAAAAAATTTTCATGTCCTAATTCCCAGAGTCTAACATACAAATATGTTTGGTTGCACGGCAGTTTGAAATTAGATTTCAAGTGAAATTAAGGTTGTGGAAAAATGATAGATTATCTTAAATGGGTGGGATCAATGAAATCACAAACTTCCTTATAAGTGAAAGAAGAAGGCAGAAGAAAGGCAACCTTGGAGGTGGTGGCATGAGAAATTACTCAACATCACTGACTTTTATGATACCAGAATGAGGACCCAGCGCGGTGGCTCACGCCTAATCCCAGCAGTTTGGGAGGCTGGGGTGGGTGGATCACGAGGTCAGGAGATCGAGACCATTCTGGCTAACATGGTGAAACCCCTACCCTACTAAAAATACAAAAACAAAATAACTGGGAATGGTGGCAAGTGCCTGTAGTCCAAGCTACTCAGGAAGCTGAGGCAGAAGAATCACTTGAACCCGGGAGGCAGAGGTTGCAGTGAGCTGAGATCGTGCCACTGCGCTCCAGCCTGGATGACAGAAGGAGACTCCATCTCAAAAAAAAAAAAAAAGAAAAGAAAAATAGGATATAAGAATGAGGTCATGTTCCAAGGAATAAGTGGCCTCTGGATGCTGAAAAAAATCAAGTACATAGATTCTGCCACATAGCCCTCAGAAAGACTGCAGCCCTGCCCAAAACTTGACGTTAGTTAGCCCTGTGAGTTTCATTTAAGGCTTCTGAACTACAGAACCGTAGGATTAACGGTCACTTTATTGTAAGATATGAAGTTTGTAGTAATTGGTTACAGCAGCAAGAGGAAGTTTATATTGTAATTGTATCATGAAAATAAGAACCATAATTTACAACTGCTTTTAATACTGCATTTGGATGTTTGAAATCACGTACATGGAAATGATCTCTATGTGCATGAGGGAGGATAGCAAATTGATGCCAAAAGAATGCAAATGCAAATCTTACACTCATTTCGATGTAGGTTTCATTTAATCTTTGAAATTAAAATGAAATTCAAAGATTGTGATATTTTGATGAAATTAGACTAAAATGAACAATAACAAGATAAGAACTTACTTATATTCTTTATATGGTCAATAAAGAAGTGATAGTGGGAAAAAACAAGATCAAATGAAGGTGATGATTTAGGAAGTTGGAAAGATAGCTGAAACTACAAAATGGTATATAACCAGTGAACACTTAGATACACTGATTGATGAACTTCAGCTTTTGACTTGGTGAAAGCATAAAATGAGAGCAGCTGAGGTTTGCAAATTTGTAATCTCCTTGTGGAAAAACAGGGGAAAACACATCTCAGCCTAATAAGATTTATCTACTAAAGAGTCTAGACTTGATCCATTTGTCCTTGGAATTCAAAAGCTAATTCAAATACTGATTTGATGCATTGTGTGAACAACCATTGCTGATTATCATCGCATACCTCGCAATCTCTTTTATCTGATATCTAAAATATTTGGTAATTCCTGGACTTTCTCTTTTCAAACCCAGTACGATTTAATTTCAATCTTAGAACAGTTGTCTTTGAGAAATTCTTCCCTCTACTGCATCTGTGAATGGGCATAGCATGGTTACATACATACTGTCACTCCGTAGAACATTTGCTAAATTAAAGCCAAAGTTTAAAGCAAGAGCTTTAACTTACTGGTTTTACTAATGTTCTCCTCCCCAATAGCCACAACAATATTGATACCCTCACACTTTTTAACATAAAGCTTGGTGTTGTCTATTTTTCAGTTGCTGTCACCTATATGATCTCAGTATTTTAAAAATCAGCTTCCAGCCCATATGGTGATTCATGCTTATAATACCAGCAGTTGAAGAGGCTGAAATGAGAGGATTCTTTGAGCCCAGGAGTTCAAAAGAAACCTGGGCAACATAGCAAGACCCAGTCTCTATCAAAAGTTAAAAAAAAAAAAAGTGGGCATGGTGATGTGCACCTGTTGTCCTAGCTATTTGTGAGGCCAAGGTGGAAGGATTGCTTGAGCTTGGGAGGCTGAGGCTGCAATGAGCAGTGATTGCACCACTGCACTCCATCCTGGGCACCAAAGCAAGACCCTATCTCAAAAAATATATCTCATAAAAATAAAAATCAGCTCTCATTGATTTCTATGTAAATATGCACAGGTGATGTCCATATAGACATAAATAATAATATTTCTGACAATGGGTCCATATGACCTTCAAAATGTAAAATGCCTATCTGTGTAATTGGTTAGTCTCATTAATGAATGTAGATTCAATTCTACTTTCTTGTTCTAGATAAATTATATAATCTAGCTTTTCATTTCACTTATTTACTGATAACAACAGGAAGAATGACAAGATAGCTATTTTGGAAAATTACTCTGGTAGGAGTAAAGATGAAACAATGATAGAATTGCACGGAAAACTAGAAAAAAAGTATGGTCTTCTGATATTCTATCACATCACATACTAAAGGCCTCATAAGACTCAGATATTTTATCTAAAAATGTTATTTTCATCTTAGGAATGATCAAAGCATGAGACTACAATTGTATTAAAATGTGCTTGTATCACAAGCACATGTGCTAAAAAGGAGGGGAAAACATCACTACTGATATTTTAAACGTATGTTTTACTTTTCATCAACATGAACCTCAACTTGATATTATGCAGATTGAAGGAAATCACCCATAATTCCATATGAAGAAGGCCTGTGATATTTTATGGGAAAATAAATAGAGAAAATGCTAACAGCAACCCTATTAAGCATGAAGCTTTATGGAGCAAACACAAATCCAGTGGTGAAAGATACACATTCGAGTTCTGTTTGTTGTCTTGGAACAATGCAGTTTAGAGGTGACTGGCGGGTGAGGAGAACATATGCAAGTTCACCAAAGAGAAAAGCTGAATGAGGCAATGCCTCTTCCTGACCATATCGCTTACTCAGATAACTATATAATTTATTGCCCAGTAAAGGGTCTATTAAAAAAATCATATTAAGTCATGCAGTGAAGTTGTCCAGGGAAATCAAGACTTAACAGTCTCACTCTGACAATAATGAACAGGGGGATTCCCTCAAGATAGACTAGGACATGACCCCACACTGGCAGGTAGTAGTACCAGAAAAGAACCCATGGAAAATCTTTACCTTATGCTTGAGGTAGGGACCAGGCTAAAGTGAAAGCCAGACATAAAATTCTATCTAAAATAAATCCACAATCGAAGAAAATATGTGGTGTACAGGCATAAAATGTCTTTACTGGATCATTGAAATAGTAAGATAAATTCAACTTTTTACATTGTTTTCTTTTCCTCCAGTTAGGGCTTGAGGTTTGTCTCTGGAGAGTGACTGTCAATTGGAGCCCTGCCTTTCTGGGGTTCTGGTCAGGGCATTGTGGATGCTTAACATGTGCCTTTCACAGGACACTTCCTTACCCCAGCAGTGGCCAGGTGTGCATCCCACGACCAGGCCTCCCTCTCACAGAACATCTGTTGAGACTAGGAGATGCCTGGTGACTGTTGCCTGACCTGTGTCCTGTGTATTTCTGACAAGAGCCACTCTCAGAGACCCTGGCCAGGTGGAGAGTTAGGTTCCAGTGTAGCTCAGCTCAGACCCATGGAGGCCACAGAACAAAACATGGGAAATCACAGAAGTAGGTTTATTACTCACAGATCGAGAGAGAAAAGGGTAGCTGAGAAGAGGGTTTAGCTGTGTCCCCAGCCAAATCTCATCTTGAATTCCCACATGTTGTGGGAGGGAACAGGTGGGAGGTAATTGAATCATGGGGGCAGGTCTTTCCCATGCTGTTCTTCTGATAGTGAATAAGTCTCACAAGATCTGATGGTTTTATAAAGGGGAGTTTCCCTGCACAAGCTCTCTTGTCTTGTCTGCTGTCATGTGAGACGTGCCTTTCACCTTGCACCATGATTGTGAGGCCTACCCAGCCATGTGGAACTGTGCGTCTATTAAACCTCTTTCTTATGGAAATTACCCAGTCTTGGGCATATCTTTACCGGTGGTGTGAAAATGGACTAATACAGTAGCACACCTCATACGGCTGAACAAAATGGGGAAGATGAGTGGGGAGCAGGAGAGAGAAAAGGGGTCTGTGGGACTCCAGCCTTTATTGGGCCGAGAACATTACCCAAATAAGTTTTCCACGGGGCACTAGTCTGTGGGGTGAGTGCCAGCAGGCACATTTCTTGACTCCCGCTGCAGGTCACTCTGGCATGTGGAGGCTGTCCATGTGCGCTGTGAGGTCTGTGGGGTGAGTCAGGTAGGTTGTATCCAACGGTTCCATAGCTGGTAGTCACCAGGAGGAGGCAACTGTGTAGGGTCAATACCTGGGCCAGCCACACTGAGGAACTGTGAGGGTTAGAACTGGAAATTGTCAAGGGAATCTGAACCCAGCTACCATAAGAGAGAGTTCAATTTATGTTCAATGTGAATGCCATGGCAATATTAAAAGGTAAGAATTCGCTCCATACGTGTTTGAGGTAAATAGGAGAAACCTAGAATTTATGTAAACAGTGAGAAGATTGGATGTGTTTTCCGACACATATTTTAATACTAGCAGCATATTATATATGTCAATCCATCAGGCATTCAGAAATACATGCTTATGAAATTTTTTTGCACCATCAGACAAAAGACAAGGGTAGAAGACATTTGTAACCCTATAACCTCTAGTACATTAAAAACAGAAGGACCTTTATGTCCTAACATATCTGTGTTGTGAAAGGCTGCCCTGTGAAATACGGGATTTCTTAAACATATTTTAAAAATCATAGGTGTCATAATTTTTTAGAAATCCATTTAAATTTTCTCTTGCTGTTTTACAATGCCTATTTATTTATTTAGTGGCTCTGCTGATTTTGATGTATATCCTAAACTTCACATTTTCTTTAAAGGATGTTTTATACAACTTTACGTAAAATGTTTCAGTATCTTCACATTCTCTCCCTGTCCTTTTGTTTTGCTCTTATATGGTGGTCTTGAGTCTTTTCTCTGGCTTTTCAAACCTAGTAAGACTAAGACACTAAAGTAACTTTGCCCGTGGTTTGGTAATATTTTCTAAAGCACATCCTAAGCTCTCATGCATACAGGGGTCTCCTTTGAGCTCTGTGCTTTTGAGATCCCATATACCTAAATTCCAGTATTGGAAATCAGTACTGCTCAGTTTCAGTTACTAAGTTTAAAAATGTATTTTAATAGCAAGTTAGTTTAGTGCACTCTTGCTTCTTTCTTGACTGCTTGTATACATGTATATTCCTTTAAATGAATCTTGGAATTTATCTAAAATTTTAAATTATACTAATGAAACTGTATATTGTTGTGAATTCATAAGTGAATTTGGAAAGAATTTGTCTTTATGATACTAAATCCTTTTTATCCAAGAATCATATGTGTCTTTATATTTATTCCAGTCTATATTTATGTCACTGAGTAAATATATAGAAATGTAGATACATACAGCTGTAGTTATAGATACAAATATAGATATAACATGTTAAATCTATATCTATCCCATATAACATATATACATGTTATATGTGTGTGTGTGTATATATATGTTTATGTTATTAAAGAGCTCCCCTAAAATTTTTATTTTATTTCCTATATAATTTTAGGTCGAGCTTGAATTTTCCTTGTATAAACAAGCAAATATTTATACTAGTTTTAATACTGATGTTTAGACATTGCATCTTATTTTAGCATTGAATATTTTCACAATTATAAATATTATCTAATATTAATAATGTACCTGTTAAAAATATTTAAAATTTTACCTTTGAATTATTTTATTGTTGAATTAAAATTCCTTTAATATGATAGTGAATTTCTATTTTAGGCTTTCTCTATGCATATGCAAATTAATCTATCCACTTCTCTATCTCTATGTAGTAATATATGAAAATCAGACCTCTCTTCTTCTAATGGACATACACATGTTTGCCTATAGAATATCAGACTCTTTATAGCATTTAAAATCTCTAAAGACATGAATATTGCTTTTTAACAAATATATTTTAGCATGTACTGAGAATCCACTATTTATTTTTAATTTGGGCTAATCAATATGATTATTAATATTATTGGATTACCAAATTTGGAAACACACTTTCATCCCCAAGGTGGATATTTGTTTTATTTTTTTTTGCCAATTTGTTGTGTTACTGTTTCAAATATTGTTGGAAATTATTTTTATTTTATTTGGCATTTTAGTATCAACATTTGCAATTGAGGTACTCTACATATTTTTTCTTCAATATCTGGTGGGTTTTATATTTACTGCTATATTGGATTTGTAGTAGACATTGACAAAAATTATTGCTGTATGTTTTATAGCTGTATGAAGGAAACTAATATATTTTACCCCTAAATATATTTCCTTGATATATTTCAAAATGGCTATTGAGAAGGGCTGGAAATGCAGACTTAGCTGCAAAGCTGTCTTGGGGAGATTTGCACCGTTAGAGAATCTGCCTTGATGCAGCCAGGCTTTCTCTGAGGTCTGCCCCCTTGTCTGGATCTAGGAAGGGTTAACTTAGAGTCTGAGGTCTCCAAAGGTCTGAAAGAAACATTTTCTGTCTATTCTCTCTGAGGACTGCTCCCAGTGAGGTTCCACCTATGTAATAAGTCCACTGTTGCTAGCCAGGGTCGTTTTCTCACATAACCTTTTTTTTTTTTTCCCTGTGATCCAAGACCCCATTCTTTCTGTAAACTTCATGTGGTAGATAAGCTTCTGCATGCATCGTGTGTCTGGGTCTTCGTTCTAAGGGCTCCAGTGTACACACATTGCAGAAACCTGTATGCCTTTTCTACTATTTATCTGCCTCCTATTAGTGATTTTCAGGGAAACTTCAGAAGGCAAAAGGGACATTCTCCTTTAGCCCATTCTCAGACAACATCCCCCAACATTTAACTGATTCCTAATAGCTTAAAATCACTTTGAAAAATCCATATATTTATAACCTTTTCTTCCCTCTATGATTTCTGGTCAGCTTGGGTTTTGTTTTTCATTCTATTTACTTCATCCTCGAAAAGATCTATTTTACGTCTATTTATTCTCATTTATGGACCTTGAGAAAAGAAAATAACTTTCATATGAGAAATGCAAGTCCTTTGAAATAATCAGGCCCAGAGAGATATTCAAATGAGACAGCAGTTCTGTCCTGCTCCTCTTTGAGCTGTGTGTTCATCTAGGCTGCCGCTGTTACCACAGTAGCTATAAATTAACCAATAAAGCCACACCAGACACTATAATCCACACCCAATAATAGTGTAACAGTGTATAGCCAATCACTAATAGATGTTATTTCCATAAGCCAATGAGAATTTGTGACAAACCTCTTTGCATCATCCCACTTCTGGACCCTTTTTTGCCTTTAAGAAACTGCTTGTTGCAAAGCTCCAAAGGGAGTTCATATCCAAGGATACTTGGGTCTGTTTCTTCCAGGCAGCTGTCCTCATTGTGGCTCAAGTAAACTCTTTGAATTACGTTTTGTGCTTCAGCCCCTTCCACTTAGATTAACAACATGGATTTGTGTCACCATGTACAGCAATTAAAATGTTTACACTTTTCCTCTCGAGAGCACTGATGTGTTTTCCTGAGCACTTGGAATAGCTACATAGTGTTTACTCTCTAGATTATGGTTTCTCAACCTTGGTGCTACTTACCTTTAGGACCAGAGGATTATTTGTTGTGGGAGGCTGCCCTAGCAATGCTAGGTGTTTCGTTTGACCTCTAAATTTCACACCTCCACCAGTCTTGACATCCCCACAATAACCCTAGACATTGACAAATGTCTCCTGGGGAAAACTCTCCACCAGTTGACAGCCAAAGTTCTGGAAATATTGGAATTGTCAATTGAGATTTTATGTTATCCAAAACAAATATTTTTCTTTGTTTTTAAACATCTACTTCCATCTACTTATCTACTTATTTTTACTTTTATTTGTAACTTAATTCCATCAAGGAGAGAGAGTGCATTTTCTGTTATGCTAAATTTTTGAAGAGTGCATTGATTTTTTCTTACCTGATATATGGATGATATGTAGATATTACATGTTTGTATTATCAAATTTCAGGGCGATAATAAAATAAATACTTATAATATTTATATTGTCACTGTATATTAGTTATTTTCTTTCTTCACTACAGGAGTTTTTCAACCTATAGGCTATTTTTCAATTCTAGGTTATCCAGTAGATTTTAAAATGTTATGATTAAATATCTACTTCTCAAGCATTCATCTTTGCAAATGAAACAATCCCAAGCTCTTATAATGCACATCATATAAAGGGGAGATTAGTCAATATATGTTTCAGAAATAATTATGTAGTATTTGTAAGAAATTGAAAATTTAGATCCTTAACTCAGATAACAATAATCCAAATTAAAATTTGATTTCATTACATAATTTAAAATGACACCAGAATACTAGTAAAAATGTAGATAAGTTTATATAATCTATTTTAGCTGTAGGACTTTATTAGCATAAATTCAAATACAAAAACCAAAGTAAGATTGAGACCTATAGTCAAAGGTTAAAATGTACACATTATAAGGGCATGATTAAACTAATTTAAAGCATAATAACATGGAGAAATATTGCAAAACATATTTTACTGAATTAATTGTTAATATCTAATAATTATGTAAGAACAAAATTAAAGAGTAGCTACACACGCACACACCCACACACAAGTGCAATATTGTCAAATAAACGATGTTCAGCTACACTAGAAATCACACCTGTGTTTTCTCCACAGAAAAGATTAAAAATCACAATAATATTTATTGTACATATGGAGGTAAAGATACTCAAAATATTACCCTAAAATACATTTTTTTTGAGATGGAGTTTTGCTTTTGTTGCCCAGGCTAGAGTGCAATGGCACAATCTTGGCTCACTGCAACCTCAGCCTGCCAGGGTCAAGTAATTCTCCTAGCTCAGCCTCCCAAGTAGCTGAGATTACAGGCATGCACCACCACACTCGGCTAATTTTTTGTATTTAGTAGAGACGGGGTTTCACCATGTTGGTCAGGCTGGTCTCCAACTCCTGACTTCAGGTGATCTACCCACTTCAGCCTCCCAGAGTGCTGGGATTACAGGCATGCACCTGGGCAGCTTTTTGACATATTTCAATATGGCTACTCGGAAGACTGGAGATAGCTCCTTCTACAAGAATAGCTGAAAAGCTGTGTTTGTTGGGGAGATTTGCATTTGTAGAGAAAATCTGCATTGATGTAGACAGGCTTTCCCTGAGATACTCCCTTGTCTGGGTTTAGGAAAGATTAACTGAGCCTGGCATGTTTACATTTCTAAAAACCAATTCCTATCTATACTTCCCAAGAGGAGGGCTGCTCCCTGTGAGGTTTCATCCATGTAACAAGACCACCTCTGCTGTCAGGCTCCTCTTTCTTCCTTGTCTTCACCTGTCTTCCGCAAAGCCTGATTTACCAACCTACAGCTCTGTGTTTTGTGTAACGTCAAGACAGCATAGGCGTGTTGACTACCTTGCCTTTCCTGGAGTTTTTATATATATAGCATATATTTGTATATCTATTTATAATATACAAATATTTGTATAGTTATATTTTTATATATTATGTAAACTGCAAGTGCATACTTGCGCACATATCTGTAAACCTTTTTTCTGTTAATTTGTACATTATCAGTTTGTTTTATAGACTCAAATAATTAAAGCTTCAAGGGAAAAATTTAAACTTTCCTATAGAGAAAAGACAAATATGTAGGTGACAAATAATATTTAGAGTGTAAGACGCTCTTTAAAGGTATATTTGCAAATTGTGTCAAAACATTGAAATATACATTTGTTATTTTAACTATAAAATTTCAAATAATTTAAGCCAAATACATAGTATATGCAGAAAATTTAGCAATATATCTAAGTAGCACCTTACTGTGCATTACTGTAACCAGCCGTCTAATATGAAGAATTAATTAAGGTAGCAGCTACTTTTCAAATAGCGCATTTTTTTACAGACCTATTAAATAAGACCAATAACATTTAAACTTTATTTTTAAATTTGCAGAATAGTAGTTTTCAGCAGATGGTTTATTTTAGCAAATTCCATCTTCACATTGTGCTATGCTTTTATGATTTCCAGCAGTTAACGGATAATATTGTACTGCTGAAACTATCATGTGTGATATAATTGCTCATTATGGGCCTTAAAACACAAGCAATATAATTATTTTCAACTTGGAGCAAATTAAAATCTTATCAGCAATTTAAAAACTCTTGAGTCGTCTTCTTCTGGTTAATTATTTTAAACTTGTATTTTTCTCTTTATGTTTTTAGTGAGTTGTCTTATCAAGGAGAAGAACTCCAGCTGATTATTCTTTTTTTTCTCTTCCATCCACCTCGCAGGTGTGTTAATAATTTCATTTCCCAGAAAATGTTCTTTCATATCCATCTTACAAGACGAGAGACTTTTTAACATCTTCCATTTGGATGTGATACCAGTAATGGAAAATATTCCAGCTTCATGAATATGGTGATACAAATGGTTATCCGTCTAACCTCTTTCAGTGCCAAATGTTTACTCAGTGAATTACTCAGTTGACTGGTAATTTCTTCTGAAATCACTAATGAGAGGATCAGAGTTCTGGCTGTTGTCTGTATCTCATATGACTTCCAGTGCAGACAATTGTTTCTATGGAGCACAGACTGTTGAAAGGATTGACTTCCTGCCTAGAATAGTTTCTGCTGTGCTTCTTTTCCTTCTTGTGGAGATTTCAGATTATCTGAATTGCTTTTCTATCTTAAGAAAAAAACGCAACAATTCTCCCACCTGAGAGGAATGCAAACTGTAGTAAGTTAGCAGAACCAATCCGTAAAATTTTTACATTGTTTGTTGCAAAATGCAGCGCTGGTGTCTCCATCACTAACCTTTTCTATCCCTCATTGCTCTTTCTTTGACTGCAATAGGATACCTCTAGGCAAATCTGTATTCCCGAGACAGAGTGCCCTTTTGGTGAGCTATAAGCACACTCAATGGTAGGCTGAAATACAAGCTTTTATCTATGGCAAAATGGAATCATATCAGTGATTTTTTTAAAAAGGAAATTTAATTCTTGCTATGGTTTGAATGCTTGCCCCTTCCAATCTCATGTTAAAATTTGATCCCCAATGTTGCAGGTGGGGCTTACTGGAAGGTGTTTGGTCATGGGGTTGGACCTTCATGAATGGATAATACCCTCCCTTAGAAATCTAAAGCTATCTTCCCTCCTCGGTGCCCTCAGGAATGAGTGTACCATTCTTTATTCACCTATAATTCCCCCACCCATCCTTTTTGAGATATTAATTACATGTATGTTACACTGCTGCATATTGTCTGATGTATCAGTGAGTTTCTGGCTTTCTTATTTTAGTTTACCCTTTGTCCTTTAGTTTGTAAATCTTCTATTTTTTTCTATAAATTTTCTGATGTTTGGGTAAAATCCATTACTTATTCTATCTCATGGAATTTTTATTTCTAATATTTATTTTTCATCTATACATGTCACATTTTTCATTTTATAACTTCTATTTTTCTATGTTCAATTTTCATTTAAGTGCCTTGACATATATATGTATTTACCTATATGTATTTATAAAATATGTTTACTTTAAGGGCCTTGAAATTTCCTTCTTTTCTGTCATTTATAAATGACTTATTTTTATCCTGTTAATATATGTCTTAAGTATATATATCTTACGGCTTCTTTGCATGTCAGAGTTTTTTTGGGGGGGGTTTTTTTGATGTTATGCTATTGACTATCTAGATTTTATTGGCTACCTTTGAACAATGTTGTGGCAGGCAGTTCAGTAACTTCAGGATGAGTATTTGTCTGTTGTTGTTTTAAATCTTCTCTTTAAACTTTGTGGAGTTAGTCTAGAGCCATCTGTAATTTGGAGCTATATGAGCACTGTCACTAGGGCATGAAACTCCAGTGGTCTTTACTGAATATCCTGGAGGTACAGAGGTGATTCTCTTCTCTGATTAGAATTTGGAAGATAAAGAGAAAAGAGAAAAATACAAAGCTACGCATAAACACGTGCATTAAAATGAATTTTATGTGGGCTTTTTCATGAAAATGTTCCTAAGGTATTTTATTTTTTTATTGTGGTAAAATACACATAACATAAAATGTACTCTGTTAACCATTTTAAGTGTACAGTTCAGTGGTACTAAATAGAGTCATAACATTGTGCAGCCGTCCCTACCATCCATCTCCATAATTCGTTTCATCTTGTAAAACTGAAACTCTATACCCATTAAAAAATACTTCCCCATTTCTTCCTCCCCCCAGCTTCTGGCAACCATCATTGTACCATCTCTGTAATGCTAATCAAGCATAGTGGCTGTGTTTCTTGCTTCCTCTAGTCCGCAGGTAGAATACAAATGTAATAAACTACTTATTCATGTCACATCTATTTATTTTCTGCCTTATACCAAGCTTGTGGGATTCTCTTAAATACAACATTTTTATACTTACACCTATGCAATACCCATTAGCATCGCCTTCCTAAATCACGGGAAATTGAGCCTCTGTAAGGTGGAGTAGCTTCCTAAGATATAAAACTCAGCATTGAAATCTGTATACTTCAATATCCTGCGCTCTTCTCATTTGTCTTTACTATCTTTTATGTATGTGTTAGATGTCCAATAAATTCTCTTTTTTAAACTGAATTTAAGCCATGGAGCAGCGTTTTGTTGAACAATAAATATGATATAGGACACTCTTCCTCCCTTTCATTTATGATCCTGTTCATGAAAAAGAGAAATTCTTTCATTGTGCTAGAAGCTTAAAATAATGAAAATGCCACTTTCTACATTAAACAGAAACTGAAGGGAATCAAGGTGAACTGCATGAGACATACAAAACAAGTGGGAAAGAAATCTAGTATAATTTGCCCTTTGTGTACCTTTATTATTTAGCGTTTGAGTAAATGATTCCCCCAAATATCTTCCCATCTTAATTCATGTCTATAAAGTAGACATTTATGTCTCACCTTGTCAAGAAGGGCAAACTCTAACATAAACATTTCCCAAAAATGCTTCCTGCTAAAACGTAAGCTCAGTCTGGCAGGAAATGCAGCTCACTTCATAAAGATTAATTGGTAGCTAATTTTGCATGCTGTTCTCTGAACTTGAGTGAAACCTGTCCATGAGGCATACAGGGCATGATGGAAAAGGTGACAACAGAAGATGAATGCTATGTCACTAACCTTCAAAGATGACCTGCCTTTTCTTTCAAATTCTTGATATCTTAATCAAGATATCATTAATTCATCTCTCTTTGCCCTTGGTTCAACATTGTGCTATACCAAAACTCATGTAAAACAATGATCTAATGTAATAAAAATGGCATTTTTCTTTGATGTAGATGCAAGCTAACTGGCATTTTTACAATCCACATATTTCCTTTGTCAATTTTTCATTCTGTATTGGAAGTAATTGATAGGTATTTCTGAAGGGATGAAGGTGTTTCTGTGTTCATTGTGATCCAAACTATTTTTAGACCTAGGGGCGTTTGTAAAACAATTTGTGCCAGCTGACCAAGGATCACTGTGGCAGAAAGCAGCAAATTTGCATAAGATGTCACTGCCTCATAAGTTGGCTTTGAAAACTAGGGGCTTACTCTATAGTCTTATGAATCAAAGGCATTGATAGATGTAGTATAAGATTACAATCATACTTTCCTTTTGACAGTCACATTATAAAGCATGATGTATTGCAATTAATCTCAATTAGCTGATCACAATTAAAATTAATAATGTTTATTATTGCTGATAAACAATCATGACTCTCCTGTTCTCAAATGTGCAAATAATTCTTGTAATTTTAATACAAATTTGCATATTATTACTAATTGATTTAATCTCATTGCATTTGGTTCATGGATCCAATTTATTAAAATATTGATAATGGGATAATGATTTGTCTCCCCATTTCATGTACACTAAAAACAACAATTCTTACAATGGTCTGCAACCCCATCATGATCTGCCGCATGTTAACCGCCAAAATTCTTTTATATCTTCACCCTTGATCTTACCAGTGGTCCTGGCCACCTCACTGTCCTCTGGACATGCCAACACTCTGCTGCCTTATGACCAAGACTCTAGTTAATTTCTTGGCTTGGAAAGATAGCCCTCCATATATCCATTGATCAGCTCATTCAACTTCCTCAAGTCTTTACTGAAACTTCACATTCTCGATGAGGCCTATTCAGTATTTCAAACTGCCTCCCAGCTGCAACTTTCCAAAACCCCTTACTCTTCTGTGTATTTTTGAAAGGATTTATTGAGATAAAATTTACATAGTGTAGAGTGCACACATTAATGTCTACAAGTCAGTGGCTTTTAGTATATGCACAGATAAGTGGAGCCATCATCACAATGAATTTTAGAGCATTTTCATCACTTCAAAAAGAAACCCCACCTTCTCTAGCTGTTAACATCCTATACACTCATCCCCTACTCAATCCTAAGCAACCACAAATCTGTTTTCTGTCTCTATAGACTTTCCTATTCTGTTTTCATCTAAATAGAATCATACAATAGGTGGCCTTTTCTGCCTGGCTTCTTTCAGTTGGCATAATGCTATCAAGGTTCATGTACGTATTGGTACTTTATTTCTTTTTATAACCGTATAACATTCAATTTCATGGATATAACATTTTGTTTATCCAATAATATTTTTATTGACATTTGAGTTGTGTTCAGCCTTTGGCTATTTTAAATATTGCTGCTAAAAATACTTATGTACAATTTGTGTTTGAACACCTCTTTCCAATAATCTGGGTGTATACCTAGGAATAAATTTCTGGGTCATATGACAATTCTATGTTTAATATATTTAGAAGCCATCAAATTATTTTACAAAGTGGCCAGTTCTAGCCATAGAGTATCTAACTGTGGTTTTGATTTGTAGTTGCCTGATGAGTGATGCTATTGAGTATCTTTTTATGGGATTATTGGCCGTTCGTGTATCTTCTTGGGAAACACATCTATTCCTATCATTTATCAGTTTTGAGTTGGGATATTTGTTACTGAGTTAAAACAATTTTTCTATATTCAAGATACATATATATACAGACATATAGACACGTGTTTTTCAAATATCTTCTCACAATTTTTGAGCTGCCTTTTGACTTGCTTGGTTGTCCTTTGAAACACCAATGTCTTTAATTTTTAAGAAATTTTAAATATCTAATTTTTATTTTGTTGCTCATGTTTTTGATGTTACAGCTATTTCTTTGCTAGATCCAAAATGCTGAAGATTTTCCCATATGTTTTATTCTAGCTCTTGCATGTGTGTCTTTAATTCATTTGAGTTAATATTTTTGTATGCTTTGGGGTAAGGGTTCCAATTTATTATTTTGCAAGTGGTGATCCACGTGTACGTTGTTGAACCAGTTTGTTCAAAGACTGTCTCTTCCTCATTGAATTGCACATGGCACCACTGTAAGAATCCATTGACCATAGACACATAGTTTTATATATGGACTCTCAATTCTCTTCCATCAATCTATATATTTTTCCTTCATCAGTATTTTGTTGTCTTGATTACTGATACTTTGCAGTAAGGTTTGGAGCATGGGGGTGTGAATTATCCTAATATGTTTTCTTTTTTCAAGATTATTTTGGCTACTTTGAGTCCCTTACAATTCCATGTGTATTTTAGAATCAGCTTGTCAGTTTCTAGACAGAAGTCTGTTGGAATACTTGCAGGGATTTCATCAAATCTGTAGTTCAAATTGTAAAGTACTACAGTATTAAATCTTCCAATTCATGGCTGTAAGATGTTTGCTAATTACTTAGATATTCTTTAAACAATAATTTTTAATTTTCAGAGTAAAATCTTGTATCACATTTTCCAAATTAATTATTATTTCTTTTTATGATGCTATTTTAAATTGAAGTGTTTTCTTAATTTCATTTTGGGGTTTTCATTGTAGATGTGTGCAATTGATTTTTGTACATTTATCTTGTATGCTGTAATATTGCTGAAATAATTTACAAGTTCTATCGTTCAGTGGATTCCTTAACATTTTCTATATACAAGAATGTTATTTTCAGTTTTATTTCTTCCTGTTCAATATGGATGACTCTTATTTTTTTAGTTGCCGATTTGCCCTGCATAAAATCTTTAGTACAGTATTGACTAGAAGAGGTCAAATTATATATCCTATTCTTATCTCTGACCATAGCGGGAAAGCATCCTTTACCATTAAGTTGCATGCTTGCTGTTGGCTTTTCACAGGTGTCATGTATCTGGTGTAGAAAGTTCTCTATTCCTGGTTCATTGAGTTTTTATTTTTATTTTTAATCATTAAAGCATTTGGATTTTGTTAAATGTCTTTTCCGAATCTATCGAGATGATCATGCAATTCTCGTTTCTTATTCTATGGATAAGATGTATTACCTTAATGGATTTTGGGCTGTTAAACCAACCTGGGAATACTTGTATAAATTTCACTTTGTCATAGTGTATAATTCTTTTATATGTTGCTAGTTCTGATTTGTTAGTATTTTTTAAGGAATTTTGCATTTATACTTATAGTAGTTTTATTTTTCTATGCTATTTGGACTAATTTTTGTATCAAGGTAACACTGGCCCCAAAGAGTAAATTGGGAAGTGAATATTTCTTTTTAAAAAAGCTAGTCAAGAATTAATATCAATTATTCAACACTAACAAATATTATTATAAATTATTAATTTCTCTAATTTTTATTTTCTTCCTTCTGCTTGCTTTAGGTTTAGTTTTTTATTCTTTCCAGTGCCTTAATGTGGAAGGTCATCTTATCCCATCCTTTCATTTGTCTTTTCATTCTCTAAATAGTGTCTTTTTAGCATCAGGTGAGCTCCCCAGCTTGGTAGTACTCCATGTTTATTGCTGTACAACAATTACAGGTAGTATGTCCTGAAGACAATGGAAACTTAATATTCAAAATCTCCTAGATTCCACCTTATATGATATGTCTCTCCAATTGGTCCTAATTTCTACCCTTTCTCTATTATAAACCGTAAGTACAATGGCATTCAATGAGTTCTGTGAGTCTTTCTAGTAAATTCTTGAAACTGAGTGTGTTCAGGGGAAACCCCTGAACTGGCAGTTGGTGTCAGAAGTGAGAATCGTCTTATATGGCCTCTTCCTTTGAACTTTGCTGCTGGACGCAAACTCTGCACAATTTGGGCCAGAAGTCTCGTGTTGACTTTGCAGCTTAAAGTATCTTGTAGTTTGTCTAACCCTCAATAAATTTGCTTTCATCAAATATTGTATTTGTTACTCCAAAATTACCATCACGTTTTTTTCTCCAAATAACTAACATTGGGAGAAATAGCCAGCTGAGTCTGTAACTCAACAGAAACAAGTGATCCATATACCATATACCATATAAGTGGCCATTTCATTTTGCCTTCTTCCACCAAATCTTAGCAACCTTAACCATTGCCATGAGCCACTGTATGCCTACCAGCTACAAACAAACAAGTATCTTTTAAAAACACTACATACTCCCATTTGATAAATTTCCCAGCAAAGAGATGCCTACTTTAACTCTATGCAAGTGACTCATATGCACTAAGTCTGTAGATATTATTCATGTAGTGTGAGAAAATCATCCCAGCGATGCCAGCACATTCTCCTTCCCCTGATCTGCTTAGTTTGCAAACATATTCAGGCCATGGGTGAGAGATTTGTATTTCACAGTACAACAGTTTTATGGAGGGCATTGAAACTTACATTGAGCATTTTAGTACAGCCACACATCACTGAATGATAGGGATACGTTCTAACAGATGCATCCATAGGCAATTTCATCATTTTGCAAACATCACAGGGAATATTACAAACACCTAGATTGTACAGCCTACCACGTCTAGGTTATATGGTATAGCCTCTCTCTCCCAGGCTACAAACCTGTGTACTACCTTACTGTACTGAATACTGCAGGCAATAAGAACACAGTGGTAAGAGGTTATGTATCTAAACATACTTAAACGTAGAAAAGTATGTAAAAATATGTATTATAATCTCATGGACCACTTTTGTATTTGTAATCCATCTTTGACTGAAATGTTATTATGCATGACAAGACTCTATGACAAAAATAAAATAACACATTGTAAAAAATGTACACAGATATCAAACATATTAATATTGTAAAAATAAAAATATTCAGTGTAAGAATTTGTAATGATCACAAAATGTTCACAGCTTATATTTTAGTACAGTTTCAAATGTCTGGTGCAATTACTATTTATTTCTGTGTGTATTTTAAACATGTATATAATAAATATTTTTCAGGTTCAACAATATATATCAATCCAACTGGCTCTTATAAATATTAGTTAAAATCAATTAGTAAATTCATATATATATATATACACACACACGTGTATCAGTCTGTATGCATGTATGTGTGTGTAAATGTAACTGTGTGTGTAAATGTAATTGGATGCATCCTAATATTTACCTTTACCTACAAGATTTCCAAGATTCATTTATTATCTTTAGAAGATGTGCTTTTATAGATTTACCAAATAAAACTGTAATCGTGGAAAATATCAAGATGTTATTAAATTCACCTTGTGCACATAATTGTTTCTTTAAATTTATATTTCTTGCAAAACTTGCGGTAATGCTCATGTACAAAATAATTTTCTAAATAAAAAATAAAAACATTTTCTCAATCATTAATTCTTAATAATTATTTCTCCCCAATAATTAATGTGAATTAATTCTTAATTCTTAATTATAGAATAATGTTGCCCTTCAGAGTTCTGAATCTTTTGCATGTTGCATACATTTCACTAACTAGAACAACTTCTGGAATATTGGCATTAATTAATGTCACTCAGCAATTAATGATTTCAAAGAAATTAAATACCATTCATATTCTGAATCACAAGGGTACTTTGGCATCTAATTTAATCAAGCTCTTTGTATCATCATCTACACTTTAATTACTTAACAAACATTTCTCTGTGTGAGAAAGATTGAGCAGGTTATTGTGCTTTTTTAAGATGCAACTTTTGCTTAATCTAGAGATAGGCAATGCTCCCTATAAGGGACAAAGAGAAAAATGAAAGAGCAATAGAGATGCGACAGGCATGGAAAAAGACAATACATTTATCAAACAAATAGGGCCACGGATGACGATAATGGGGGTCAAACCTTGAGATACTGACTCAGTTTACAACCGCACTGTATAATAGAGCAAATCATTTGTTAATTTTTTTACAAATGGAATTTAATTTAATTAAGATGAATACAGTGTTTTAAACAAGGCTGGTCATCTTAAAATAAAATAGTGGAATAAAGTGATAAAACCAATGTAAAAATCATAAACATTTTATAAAGAATTTTTGTCATGTAATTTTTTTCTTTATTTAAAATCACCCAAATCAAAATAATTTTATCTTAATTAACAATCATCAGAAGTTAACTAATTTTTACTTGATAATACTAGGTTTAAAAATTCTTAACTATATTTTTAATCATATGTGATTATACATAAAATAGACATAGGGTATATGTTTACATGTTCACAATATTATATTGTAATTGTTCCTATGGATGTGGTTTTTCAATAGAATTAATAAGTACTTTTAAAAAGTTTCAATTTCAATGATATATATGTTTGATTTTTCTTTGACAAAGCATACATATATTGATAGGTAATAAGAAGAAAATCTTCTAAAGACATTACAGGAACATGAATAAGTAATTAAATCCTCAATAATTTGTAATGTTTTATGTAAGCGGAACACATTTAACTGAAAATTGCTTTTATATAATACTCAAACGAGACTAAAAACATATTAACTAGCGGAGTAAGTTTTCAAATTGATAATCTGAACTATATAAGAGGAGAAACTTCAAGCACTCAAATATTTGAAATGCTACAAAATATTTATATAAACTTATTTCACAATTTCTGTTTGTAGAGTGCTATAGAGTAATCAATATAAATGACATCTCAGTCTTTCTATGGCTTTGACCACATTTACCTCTTAATTTTAATTATTAATATGTTGGAGCAGTGCATACAACCAGATTCCGATCTTCCTTTTTAATGAGTAAAAATATGTCCTTTGAGACAGCATTAAAGAAAGAGCACCTTGTATATAAATTCAATGCGAAGAGACAAGATATTCTTGATTCTGAAGTCTTGTTCTTTTATACAGCAATGTAATTAATAAGAAGAAGAAAAGCAGGACATAGATATGGAGTCTATTTTAATCAAAAATTGTCTATAGATTTTGATGATAAAATTTAAAAATCTACTATATTTACTTAGTCACAAAAAACCAGGTTGTGGGAACATATTTGGTCAATAAAACACCCCTACCAAATGCTGACAAGAAAAAAAGTTAGGTACCACCTTTCTTCTCTGCAGATGGCCTGAGATGGGTTAATTTGAAAGAATGCTTCCAAACCTGAGGTGACCCCTGAGAACAGCATAATCCACTGCTGTCTCCTACATTCAGTTTCTCAGTCTGTGCTCTTTTAATTTTGGGGGGAGGGAAGCCAGTCCTTTAAAACGATCTTCAGCATGATGGCAGAGCCAAGGAGTGTGGACAGGTGGCACGGTGTCTGACTTTGTTCCATCAGCCATTTGGGCTTTCTCTGGGTCTTCTTTGCCCTAGGGATAGCACTACTATTGAAAACATGTCTTTGTGACATTCTCTATGCCAGGAACTCCCAACATATTTTCCTTGAAACTGATGAAATGAATAAAAATAAACCAAGAGGTGTGCTGTTTGTTTCTGTTTCCTCCTTTCTGCAGCCCTTCTTGATCATCTAATATTTTTAAACACATTCTCGATCACCAAAAGGAGCATAAGGGCTTCATTGGTTTGTAGCAGATGTATTAATAGCCCAGCCCCTATTCCTTACCTGTAGCTGCTGGGAAGAAAACCATTCTTAACACTCTACAAGGTCTCATCTCCAGAATTTGCACCTGTTTCTAGCTGAGGACTTTCTCTAGCAGCACGGGAGCTTGTGACTGGGCATGAAGTGGGAAGAAAAGGTGAGGGTATCTAAGAAGAATCTCCCTGGATTCAGTGATGTAATTCTGAGGCATGCTCCACATAGCTTCCCATAATATTAAGCCCAGATATCTAACACAGGAACTTACCTCTTAACACGTGTGGTATTGGCTTGTCTCTCTTTCCTGTTTTATTTTGTTCTCTTTTCCTTGTCTCACTTTCACTGTGTCCTCACTCCTGCTTTAAGAATACCCAAACAAATACGTTCATTTATTTTTTTAGACTCTCAGAACACAGTTGATAGTTGAATTTCTAATCTATGATAATCAGCTTGGATGCAATACTGACAGGAAGATGGTGAACTCACAATGTCCAATTAAGGTACAATTTAAAAAATATATTGAATCATGTCCAAAGATTTAAAAAACCTAAGCGGCAGTGTCACAATTTCTTTTTAGTTTACATGGTTTCTTAAACGCCTACAATTATTTTAAAGGAAGCCTTGAGTCTAGGAAAAATTGAGACATATGGAATAAATTACTAACCCATTTCTCCTTGAAATCCATTAGATAATTGATGATTTTTTCACATATATTTCTGAACTGAAAATCTAGTTGGGAATTATTTTTATAAGCATATCCTTATGTAATATTTTGTTTCTAACAGAGAATTGAATGTTTAAAGATTAAATTATTCTATCCAGAGAATAAAAAGCAATTATTTCACAAGGAAACCATGTGTATGTTGACAAGACATTTTAAAATCTAGATTTTAAAATAGGTCCCATATAATTTTGAGTCAATTAGAATATGTTTGTATCAGTCTGTCTACAGTTTTACACCTGTCAAAAGGTACTTGAACTAAAAGAAGTACCTTGAACAATTTTGAAATTTATTATTCCTCTGAAACTCATTAAAAGAATTATGGTAGAGTGAAATTCTGATTGGCATAATTTGGGAGAGAAATTATTCCTTGGAGATCAACCTCTGCCAAGATAGTTTATAATGACATTGAGACTTTTTGATTTACAAAATTTGTTATATAAAAAATACTAAGACGATGACAGATAATACACAGACTAATTAAAATTGTACTAGAATTGTCTAAATAAATTACAAGGGTACGTGGTACATCTAAATGTATGTTTATATATTTTATTTGTGCATTTTATTCCTAGGGTTGCTTTTGCTTTAGTTTGTAAAACGTTCTTATTTTTATGATAATGTAGTATATACTAAATAAAGAAAAATCAGGAAATAGAAAATGAAGAAGAAAACATTAGCTATTGTCAACCAAATAAAAATCGTGCAATCTCTAAGTACATGAACTATGTATTATTTGTACAGCATGTACAATGTTTATGCTTCACAGGGTGAGGTAGAGACTGTAAAACATTGAACCTGGGAAAAGTAAGAAAGTAAGGAAATTTTCACAACATATTAATATTATAGAAAATGTTGAACTTAACAGTTAAGATACAAGTAGTGAAAAATGATAGTATTTAAGGAGATCTAGAAAATTTAATCTATATCAGTAATGTGTGAGAAGTATTAGAATAATGCTTGTATTTCTGGATTGGCATCGATTTCTATTGAGACTGGAAATGTAACAGAAGTGAGCAAAAAAGAATTTAAATTGTGGATACTTGAGTTTTATACCTAGGAGTTCGAGAAATACATTTTGTTACTATCAAAGCAGTTGGCACAAGAGTGTACAAAATTCCCTAATTGTGTCTATGTGGAGAAGACATAGACAAACAGAGAATAGCAAAACAGAAATAGCAAAAAAGCACAAATAAATTTTACCTGTATTTTTAAGTAAAAGCCAATTAGAGAAGGAAAACATGAAATTTGTGTTTTATCAAAATTTTTCTCTTTCTCATAATATAGTTGAAAATATTACTGCAAAAAATTTGAAGCACTGGTATGTTCACAAAAAAAGTAAAATATAAGGTCAAAACCATGGGAATGCAGGGAGCAGACAAAATACACCTAAACACTGAAACTGATTTTGCCCTACAGACATGTAGCAAAATGAATGAGTGCAGATTCCTACTGTCATACATCACATAGGACAGTAAATAAATACATAGTTTTTCCCAAGATAGGGCATCACACAGGAGCTCTTCCCTAAAGCTAGGACCAAAATTTATATCCTCAGTATAAAGAAGAATCAGAGGTAAATTAGTCCCATTTCACATTCCCTGGAAATGGCAAATAAAAATGACTTGAGATTGGACAGATTTAAAGCAACTCAATCATTAATGATTTACAGCAATTAATTTAAAAACTGTTTAAATGTGCAGTCCAAACATATGTCCAAACACCTTTAGGCCAAGAATTAATATAATGTGGTCCCAGAATGGTGATGCCTTTAGAAGACTCACAACAAATTCAAATTCTCTTTGGCAAATTTTCTTCTTACTAATATGCAAAAGTGCACAATAATAATTTTCAGAGAAAAATAAATCTTTGTCATTCAAAGGCATCTAAGTATGCAAGGAAATGATATTCTACCATTTGAAAGGAAAGCAGAAAAAGAGTACAAACCGATCCACAAAGGTTCATTAGTAGAAATATCACTGTTAGATTATAAAGCTCATTTAATTTCAAAAAATTTAAAAAAAATGAATATATTTTTAGGAGACTAAAAAATTGATGTAGCAAATTGGAAAAGTAGTTTGTATATAGTATTTTAAATTAAAAACTCAAAAATGAACTCATCAGATTAGACATGGCCATGGTGAGAGTTCATAAATATTTCAGAATGCATTACAGAAAATTTTTAAAAATGCACAATGTGGACAGAATCATGAAGAGACATGGAAGATACAGTGAGAAAGTGTAGCATGTGTTTAGTGAGGGTTCTCTTAGAAGAAGGGAACTGGGAAGGGACAATATGTGATGGTATTTTGGCTGAAAGTTCTCTAGACTCTTGTAAGACACTAATCCGCATATTCAAAAATTCTATGCATGCTAAGCAAGCTACAATGGAGATAAACCTACCTCTACATATCTCCTAGAGAAATAGTAAACAATCAGGAAGGGAAAAATATTTTTTTTTTTTTTTTTTTTTTTTTTTTTGAGACGGAGTCTCGCTCTGTCGCCCAGGCCGGACTGCGGACTGCAGTGGCGCAATCTCGGCTCACTGCAAGCTCCGCTTCCCGGGTTCACGCCATTCTCCTGCCTCAGCCTCCCGAGTAGCTGGGACTACAGGCGCCTGCCACCGCGCCCGGCTAATTTTTTGTATTTTTAGTAGAGACGGGGTTTCACCTTGTTAGCCAGGATGGTCTCGATCTCCTGACCTCGTGATCCACCCGCCTCGGCCTCCCAAAGTGCTGGGATTACAGGCGTGAGCCACCGCGCCCGGCCAGGGAAAAATATTTCAATTAGCACTAGAAAAATCAAATTACCTTTAATCATATTGAAATCTGAAACCATGAAAGGTAAAATAAACAATATTATTTGTTAAGAATAATAATGCCATTCTGAAATTCTCAACCAAGAAAAATATTCATCAACCTATGGCTAAATAACATATTTAGAGACAAAAAACAAAACACCACCAGCAGAATTCCACTAAAGAAACTAAAAAGAAACTCTGAAAACATGCTTCAGAAAGATTGAAGTTCTGAAATCAAAGAATGAACACAGAGAAAAATATATTGTAAACATACAGATAGATCTAAATAAAAAATTAGGTGTTGAAACAAAAAGATATTTAAAATTAGATAAGCACTGCAATATGTATGTTAGGAAGCAAATTATTAGGGCTGAAGTATTCAAAGACCCCTTAATTGTCTGACAAGAGCAGAAAGGTATGACTTTGCAACTTTTTTTTTTTTTTTTTTGAGAAGGAGTCTCACTCTTTCTCCCAGGCTGGAGTGCGGTGGCGCCATCTCGGCTCACTGCAACCTCTGCCTCCCAGGTTCAAGCAATTCTCCTGCCTCAGCCTCCTGAGTAGCGGGGATTACAGCCACGTGCCACCATGCCTGGCTAATTTTTGTATTTTTAGTATAGACGGGGTTTCACCATGTTGGTCAGGCTAGTCTCCAACTCCTGACCTCGTGATCCACACGTCTCGGCCTCCTGAAGTGTTCAGATTACAGGTGTGAGCCACTGCGCGTGACCGACTTTGGAAATTTAATAAATTGATTGGACATTATGCATTTCTCTGTTGTATCTAGGAAAACAATAAAAATAAAAGTCACAATTTTAAAACAAGAAGACAGAAACTGATAGGAGAAAATGAGACAGTATATATATATATATATATCCACACAACAAATTAATAATACAAAATTAAGTATAAATGATCAAAGATTAACTTAAACCTAAGTAGACAATGTTTTTGTTAAAATACAAAGATTGGCAAAATTTAAAACATCTGTCTCTATCATAGTTACAAGAGAGGCAACTAATATATAAATTTACAGGAACTTTGAAGTTTGAACAATACAGATACTGTGTATATATGATATACATACAAACATACTACATGAATATAATTTTTTAAAAAGTTGCTATGTAGACAAAACAGAATGTAAGTTAGAAATATTTATTAAAATAAGTTAGTCTAACCAGTGTGATAAAAGTTTTAAGTTATTAAGATGTGATGACTTAAATGTGCATTAGCCTGATACATACATATATATATACACACAAACCACACACTCTCTCACACACACAGACACACACGTATTTAGAGAGAGAGTCAAATTATATAAAGCAAAAATATCAGAAAGTAGAAATGGATAAGCCCCCAAATATTATAGACATTTCAAACACACATCTTTCAATAATAGATAAAAGAAAAAATTAAAAGAGTAAGTTTTAAAAGAAGCTAGTGGATTTTAAAAAGGGCAAATATTATATAAGGAACATGAATATTATAATTCATGTTATTTTCTTGTTCATACAGAATACTTACAAAAATTAACATTTTCTAGACCATACCACAAATTCAAACAATTTTCACGGAAATAACGTGACACAGAATATACTTCCTAAACAAACAGCAATGAAGGCAGATATCAATACAAAAACGAAAGCTAGAAACATAAGTCTAATAATATTGGTTGGAAGCTATTTTAATGAATATTGAAATATTTTAAAGGTGAATAGTCCATACAAATAAACCAAACACTTTTTTAAGGCCACTAAGATGCATGTGTAATGTGTAATGCCTCCTTTTATAAGGAGTCAATCTGTAACATCACCTGGGCTATTTGACAACTGCAAAGTGAATGTGAGAAGGAGAGAAACAGTGAGAGAGAGAGAGAGAGAAAACAAGTAAAATAAAGAATGAAGGAGATAACCAGGAGCCATGGTTCACTCCTGTAATCCCAGCACTTTGGGAGGCCGAGGCAGGTGGATCACCTGAGGTCAGGAGTTCAAGACCAACCTGGTCTAACATGGTGAAACCCACTATCTACTAAATATACAAAAATTAGCCTGGCATGGTGGCATGCATCTGTAATCCCAGCTACTCGGGAGGCTGAGGTGGGAGAATTGCTTGAACGTGGGGGGTGGAAATTGCAGTGAGTAGAGATCACGCGACTGCACTCCAGCTTGGGCGACAGAGCAAGACTCCGTGTCAAAAAAAAAACAAAACAAAACAAAAAAACGAGGAAATAGTACACGAAAAAAACAGAATTAAAGCAACTGGGTATATATTTAAAAATGCAAAAGCTCACTTTTTCAGAAAAATATTAAAATATTAAATCTAACAAATATCTAGGTAGACTGATGGAGAAAAATACAGAAAATGCACAAAAAACCAATTACCTGGAATGCGAACGTTACAAAACTTCAGCAGTTGTAGATTTTAAATAAGCAATGATTTTTGAGTTCAACCATGATGGGGTATATTGAAAAGAATCTCTCAGAAAAAAAGAAAAAGAAAACTGTTATAAAGCTATGTACAAAATGTTAAGCAGTATTAAAGTCTTCCAAATCTACCAGTTATGGAGTTATTGGTCTTGGACTAACTCTCCTGAAAAGAAAAAAACAAAACGAAACAAAACAAAACCTAAAAACCTGGATAAAATGGCCTACCGTGGGCACTGGCAATGCATCCAAGCAGGTAGGACCTGGGTGCTACATTCTCTTTGTCAGAACACAAAACATTCATACACTCTTCTCACCCTCACTTTCACCTTTTAATCTTAGATCTACTATTAAATGTATTCAACATTACTATCAATCCTTTGGTCAAAATTTCTTTACTCACATTGTGCTTGATGCACTTGGATAGACTGTTCAAGAACGTGTGAGTAGTGAATTCCTCAAACTCTTGCATATTTAAAATCACATTTTTGAACCTTGATGCTTGAAGTGTAGCTTGGGTAACAGATGACCTTTAAGCCAATTTTGGCATGCAAGGGGTTGTTTATTAGGCATCAGCACCGCTGAAAATCGTGGGGATGCAGGCTTAATTTCAACACTATTCTAAATACTTGAAAGATATTATATAATTCTTTAATAAACTCCTGTGTCTACAAATGGTTCACATTAACTCAATATCCATGATTAAGCATTTATAAAATCAAGGCACTGTTATTTAGTGGAGACTTGCTGGCTATTCTATGAGAGGAGGTATTGTTATTGTAATCTCATCCTCTCATAAATATGTATCATATTACTCATAACCAGCCCTTCATATTCTATTCCTATTTTGGTATTTTAAAATAAGATATCTTTGAAACACTTGAATTCAAAGAGGGAATCTGAATAATTTTTAAAATGTCAATGAAATGCCATTTCTTCATGCTTCAACAACTAAAAATTGACTAAAGTGCTTCTCTTCAAACTTTCTGGAACATTTTTTTATCTAAATTCTAAGAACAATCACATTAGGTTTTAACCACGAATGTGAGAATATTCTAAATGTTAGGGTGGAAAAATTTTTTAAATAATTTTATAGTAATTTTTTTCATCATAGTGACAGTGTGCTAAATTTTTTTAAGTCAAATATTACTTTAGACATTTAAGTCAGGATTCTAAGAAGCTGTTCTAAACTCGAAAATTTAGTTTCATATACACTGATATTATATATATGTTTGCATAAAAAATTAATACATGTGAGCCATGTTTCAAATAGTTGAGAGATTATTATATCAAAGATTCTTGATTATATAAAATGCCAATTACTTATAGGCACACGTGCTTTAAATAATTACAAAGGCAGTTGTGGTTGTTTCTACTCTTGCTACTGGCATTTATATGGACATAATATTATGGTCTGAAGAATATTTAGGCATATTTATTCCTCATATGATCAGAAGAACAATGCAAGATAGTTTATATCTGAAAGGAAAAAAATCTTTATATGGTTCTGAAAGCGTAAATCATTAACAATTTGGATAATAATTAGCATAAAAATACACAAACATGCCCTCTTCCTAGCTGTAAGTACAAAGTGACAAGAGAATCAAAGCATGTGGCTATGTGCATGTTTATATTTCAAGACGCAGAGCACCCTATTCCTCTTCTCTGCCCTTTCTAGTTGGCACAATTCCTCATGAATCTAAGTGCAGCCATAGGGTGGATTACGGTGACCTGCCATTTGTATGCAACTGATCTCTATTTTGGAAGTAATTAATGTAAAAATATATTTTTAAAAGATAAGGTCAAATTTCAGGGCAAACTAGCATGGTTTCACCCCTTTTCTTTGTAACATTTTTTCTAATGTTGGAAAAGTAAGATAGGCTTTAGTACGATTTTAAATAATAAGTTTTCAAAGTGAGACGCAAAATGGTGGCGCCAACACATTTCAAATCTGCTACATTTTGAATACACTTATTGGAGAAAAGACCTTCTCATCATTTTTCTCTTACAGGAAAGGAAATAACATGTACAGTTGACCCTTAAGCAACACGGAGGTTGGGGTGCTGGCCCCCCTGCACAGTAGAAAATCCACTATAACTTTGACTCCCCCAAAACTTAACTACTAATAGACTACTCTAAGCCTTACAAATAACACAGTCAATTAACCCATATTTAATATGTTATATGTCTTATATACTGTATTCTTAACAAACATGCCAGAGAAAAGAAAAAAGCAAATCATAAGGAAAATATATTTACTAATCATTAAATGGAAGTAGATGATCAAACAGGTCTTCATCCTCATCCTTTTCATAGGCAGGGTGTGGATAAGGATGTAGAATTGTTGGTTTTGCTAAGTGGACGTGCACAGTTCAAACCCCTGTGGAGCAAAGGCCAACTGTATAGCCATTGAATAGCAATTTATTTTTAGAAATTAACCACACTAAAATACTCTTAGAAGGATGCCAAGAAAAAAAATGAATAAGTATTTTTCATCTATTTCATCATTTCATTATTTCATCATTTCATTTCCTCATTTCATCTCATTTCATTTCATCATTTCATCCTTTCATTTCATCATTTCATTTCATTTCATCTCATTTTATCATTTCATCTCATTCTTTCATTTCATTTCATCATTTCATCTCAACATTTCATTTCATTTCATCATTTCACTTCATCTCATTTCATCATCTCATTTTATTTCATCTCATCATTTCATCATTTCATCTTTTCATCTCATCATTTCATCTTTTCATCTCATTTCATCAATTCATCATTTCATCTCATCTCATTTCACTTCATTTCATTGTTTCATTTCATCATTTCATCACTTCATCTCAACATTTCATTGCGTCATTTCACTTCATCTCATTTCATCATTTCATCTCATGATTTCATCTCATCATTTCATCATTTCATTTATTTCATCTTTTCATCATTTGACGTCATGTCATCATCTCATCATTTCATATCATTTCATCATTTCATCTTTTCATTCCATCATTTCACTTCATCATTTTATTTCATCATTTCATTTCCTCATCATTTCATTTCATCCTTTCATCATTCCATCTCATCATTTCATCGTTTCATTTCATTATTTCATTTCAGCATTTCTTCTCATTGTTGCATTTCGTCATTTCATCATTTCATCATTTCACTTCATCTCATCATTTCATCTGATTTCATCTCATCTCATTTCATCTTTTCATCTCATTTCATCATTTCATTTCATCTTTTCATCTCGTCATTTCATTTGATCATTTCATCAATTCATCATTTCATCATTTCATTATTTCATCATTTAATCATTTAACTTCATTTCATCATTTCATATCATTTCTTCATTTCACCATTTGATCTTCTCATTTCATTTCACTTCATCATTTCATTTCATCATTTCATTTCATTTCATTTCACCATTTCATCATTTCATTTCATCATTCCATTTCATCATTTCATTACATTTCATCATTTCACTTCATCTCATCATTTCATCTTTTAATCTCATTTCATTTAATCATTTCGTTTCATTACACCTTTTCATTTCATTTCATCATTTCATTTCATTTCATATCATTTCCTCAATTCATCATTTCATCTTTTCATTTCATTTCACCATTTCATCATTTCATTTCATCATTCCATTTCATCATTTCATCATTTCATCTCATCATTTCATCTCATGATTTCATTTCATCTCATCATTTCATCTTTTAATCTCATTTAATTTAATCATTTCGTTTCATTACACCTTTTCATTTCATCATTTCATATCATTTCCTCAATTCATCATTTCATCTTTTCATTTCATCATTTCATCATTTCATTTCATCATTTCACTTCATTATTTCATTTCATTTCACCATTTCATGTCATCATTTCATCATTTCATTTCATTTCAGTGATACATGTATTTAAGTGCTAATGCGATGCCCAGGAGACACCCTATTTCCCTTTGTAAAACACCTCCTTCAACAAAAGGCAACTTCTCATGGCTGGCTAAGTCTACAGGGACACCAGCCTCTCTTCAACCACCCAATTTCATTTAGAACCTCAAACAGCACCTCAGTTTCGTAAAAACCTAAAACATAAACACAACACTTGGTTGTAAGTGAGCCAACAGTTGTCTCTTTCTCTGCTCAAGGCTTAAGGCCATGTCTCCCCAACTACATTCAGTGGAAGAAAAGATCCCCTGGACAAATAAGTTTGAGAATTGTTGTTGCAGGAATTCTCAGAACCTTCAAAACACAAATCCTCATCCGCAGGGATCTTCAGGAGGGAGATGGCTGATGCAGCACAACTTTCTTTCACAGGAGTACCTTGCAGAATACAGTATGAGATACAGAAAGGCTGCATTGAGTCTTTTTAATGGCCCGGGCCTTGGTGGGGGTGGGGTAGGAGCTCTGAGTAGGAACATTCAGGTGGCTTTTTTTTTCTCCTTATTGGCAAAACTGTGTGTACACCATGAATGAAGCTGGTCTCCCTTATCCATATCAAAACTAAACCCAAATTAATTGGCTAAATTGGGACTCAACACCTCCAGGAGCCACGCGGCAGAAAGCCCCAACACACTTTGAATTAGCTTACCTCATCATATTTGAGGAAAGCAAAACGCTTATGACCAGTGTGCTGCTAATACAAGTCTACAGATAATGCTGTATGAAAAACTAGTTTTCCCAATCATAGCTGGCATAGTCCACATTTTGCATTACACTTTCCCCCCTTTTTTAAAATTTTAAACACAGGTCTTTTTCTCTTCTTTTTTTAAATTTTAATTAAATTATACAAGACGGAGTCTCAGTATGTTGCCCAGGCTGGTCTTCAACTCCTGAGCTCAAGCGATACATCCGTCTCCGCCTCCCAAAGTGCTAAGATTACAGGCCTGATACACTGTGCCTGGCCTTAAACACAAATCTTAATTCATTCTTACAATTATTCTGAGGTTACAAAAATGGAAGGGGAAGAAAAATGGCAAGCAGGTAGGCTGACTTCGGCTTCATTATTTGGAAGGATAGTTTGCTCGGTTAAAACACACTACTGCCTACAAAGGCCAAGACAACAGAAAAATACAGACTTACATAAATAGATTTTATGTGACAGCAGTTTGAATGGAGACTTTTTCAATGCAATGAGAAACAGCTGTGCTTGGGAATAAATGACAACGAATTTTTTTTTATCTCAACAGCTGTCCTGAGAGCATGTCTCTACATCTCTACCTGCATTCTGGAATCAGGGAGAAAGCCAAAACAGACAGACACTAGATCAGCCGTGTCAACCCTTTGACTACAAGGACTTTTCCGCCTATCTGTGGTGGTGGGTATCATGAAAATTATGCAAAAACCTTTTTTTTTTTTTTAAGCTCATCAGCTGTTGTTAGCATTAGTGTATTTTATGTGTGGCCCAGGAGCATTCTTCTTCCAATGTGGCCCTAAGAAGCCAAAAGACTGGACACCTGTGCACTAGATCAAAAGGCTACTCCTTCTGGAAGCAATTGTAAAGAATTTCTGACATTATCTTGACATGAAAACCAATAGATAGTGGGACAGAATGCAAAATCTTCAAGAATTTTTCCTGTCATTTTTTTTTTTTTTTTTTGAGTCACGGTCTTGCTCTGTGGCCCAGGCTGGAGTACACTGGTGAGCTCACAGCTCAGTGCAGGATCAAGTGCTCCTCCCACCTCAGCCACAGTAGTAGCTGGGACTAGAGATGTGCACAACCACCCCTGGCTAACATTTTATTTTTTGTAGAGACAGGGTCTCACTATATTGTCCAGGTTGGTCTCAAACTCCTTGACTCAAGGGATCCAGGACAGGATAACAGGTGGGAGCCACCACACCTGGCCATGTGCATGAACTTTTAAGACAAACAAAAGGCCCCACAAAAGTTAAGGTTTTCCCACCTAATTTCCAGGGGATCTTTTGGTGCAAGGATGAGAAACCCTTAAAAGTACACAGACAACTCCAAAGATTCAAGACAGTTCATTCAGGCTGAGCCAGCTCACTGGGCAGACTGACATTCAAAAAAGGCCCACCCATGACATACACCAGATGGCTCTACAAGAATCTCTTCAGTCCTCAGGGTCCCTAAGATACTGGACAGAGCTAGGAAAGCAAACCCATTTGCTTCTTCCTGCAGGAAACCCCTTGAGGTCAAGACCCCACAATCAGACAAGGATGGAGTGGCTCACCCTCAGTAAACAGGCCAGACTCAAGGTGGTATAATGTCTTAACCAAGAGTGTGGGCCTCCAGGTCTGACTCCCATCTCAGTTCTCCTTTAATAACCACACTTTGATAATTCTCCTTAACAGGGGTTCCTGGCAAGTCAGTTCTTCCTCAGGCCTTCGGTTTCCTCACCTACAAGATGAGAGGGCTGGACCAGATGGAAATTCAGGGTGGAAGGGGATGTCCGCGCACAGCCCACCACCCCCCCCCAACAGGACCCTGGATCCTTCATCCCAGTTCCCACCACGCACCCGCCCCACAAATCGCGCTCAAGGTGAGGGCTGGTCCCGGGTCCTCCTGCTGCCGCATCAGCGAATGCAGGAGGGAGGGGAAGACTCCAAGGGCGCAATGCGGGCTCAAGGATGCAACTGGGCCAGGAGTGAACTGGGGCCCCGAGGGAGGTGTCTGAGCTCCTCCTGGAGCCCAGCCCGGGTCCCCGAACCCCTTACCTCCAGGGTCGGTATCTTCTGCTGGGTGAGGTCGTTCGACACAGCGCACTTGGTGCCCAGCCAGCGAAGGCTGCCAATGAAGATGCCAATGAGCTTCTGGAGCTGCCCGCGGCCCCTGCGCCACCTTCCGCTAATGCCGCATCACCCCCGCCACCACCCTCCTTCTTCTCTCCCATCGCCTCTGCGCGCAGCGCCGCTCTATGCAGGCCACAGAGGCCGAGGCAGGGAGCCCGGGGCGCCGGCGCCTAGGCAAAGAACCCCCGAGCCAGGAGAGCTGGACCAGGAGCGCCCCTCGGCGCTGCCCTTGCCAGGACGCCAGTGGAGCTAGCAGCCGAGTCTGCCGCTCCTGCCCTCAGAGCCGCAGCACCAGGGGAAAAATCCTCCGCGGCGGGGGTAAAAATCCGCGGCGGGGGCAAAAAGCCGCGGTGGCAGGAGCAAAAAGCAGCGGGAGTGGGGGCAAAAAAAACCACAAAAAGCCGTGGCGGCGCGGGTAAAAAGCTATGGCGGCAAAAAGTCTCAGCGGCGGGGACAAAAAAACCGCGGAGGCGGGGGCAAAACGCCGCGGCATCGGGGGAAAAAGCCACGGCGGCGGGGGCTGATAGCTCCGGCGGCAAAAACCCGCGGCGGCGGGGGCAAAAAGCCGCGGCGGCAAAAAGCTCGGGCGGTGGGGGAAAAAGCCGCGGCGGCGTGGGCAAAAAGCCGCAAAAAGTAGTGGCGGCGGGGGCAAAAAGCCTCGGCGGCGGGGGCAGAAAATCGCTGCGGTGGGGGCGAAAACCCGCGACTGGGGGAAAAAGCTGCGGCGGCGGGGTCAAAAAGCCGCGGCGGCGGGGACAAAAACGAGCGGCACGGAGCAAAAAGCCGCGGCGGTGGGCGCAAAAAGCCGCGTCCGCAAAACCCGCGGCGGTGGGGGAAAAAGCTGCAAAAAGCAGCGGCTGCGGGGGTAAAAATCCGCGGCGGCGAGGGCAAAAAGCCGCGGCGGCGGAGCCAAAAAGCCTCGGCGGCAAAAACCCGCGGTGGCGGGGGCAAAAAGACGCGGCGGCCAAAAGCCGCGGCGGCGGGGAGTAAAAAGCCGCGTCGGCAAAAGCCGCGGCGAGGGGGGTAAAAAGCCGCGTTGGCAAAAACCGCGGCGGCGGGGAGCAAAAAGCCGCCGCGGTGGGCGCAAAAAGTCGCCGCGGCCAAAAAGCCGTGCCGGTGGCGGCGGCGGCAAAAAGCCGCGGCGTCGGGGAGAAAAATCCGCGGTGTTGGGGGCGGGGGCAAAAAGCCGCTGCGGCGGCGGGGGCCGAAAGCATCGGGGGCAAAAAAACACAAAAAGCCGCGGCGGCGGGGGAAAAAACCCGCGGCGGCGGTGGCAAAAAGCCGCGGCGGTGGGGGTAAAAAATCACGTCGGCAAAAGCCTTGGCGGCCAGGGCAAAAAGGCGTGGCGGTGGGCGCAAAAAGTCGTGGCAGTGGGAGTAAAAAGCTGCGTCGGCAAAACCCGCGGCGGCGGGGGAAAAAGCTGCAAAAAGCCGCGGCGATGGGGTCAAAAAGCCGCGATGGCGGGGGCAAACGGCCCCGGCGGCAAAAACCGGCGGCGGCGGGAGCAAAAAGCCGGGGCGGCGGGGGCAAAAAGACGCGACGGCCAAAAGCCGCGGCGGCGGGGCGCAAAAAGCCACGTCGGCAAAAGCCGTGGCGGCGGGGGCAAAAAGCCGCGGCGGCGGGGAGTAAAAAGCCGCGGTGATGGGGGTAAAAAGCCGCGTTGGCAAAAACCGCGGCGGCGGGGCGCAAAAAGCCGCGGAGGCGGGGAGCAAAAAGTCGCCGCGGCGGGGCGCAAAAAGCCGCGGCAGCGGGGGGTAAAAAGCCGTGTCGGCAAAAGCCGCGGCGGCGGGGTCAAAAAGCCGCAAAAGCCGCGGCGGCGGGGGCAAAATACCGCGGTGGCAAAAAGCCCCGGCGGCGCGGGCAAAAAGCCGCGGTGGTGGGGGCAAAAACCATCTGGAGCGGGGGCAAAAAAAGCCGCGAGGGCGGCGGCGGGGGGAAAAAGTCGCAAAAAACACCGGCGGCTGGGGTAAAAAGCCACGGCGGCAAAAAGCCTCGGCGGCGGGGGCAAAAAGCCGCGTTGTCAAAAGAGTGGCGGCGGGGGCCAAAAGCCGCGGCGGCGGGGACTGAAACCCACGGCGGCGGGGGCAAAATACTGCGGCGGTAAAAAGCCATGGCGGGGACAAAAAGCCACAAAAAGAGCCTTTTTAGGGAAAAGTGCAATTGCTAACATCTGAATAATATATTAAGGATGCCAATCTAAAATTTGCTAATAGCATCATATTTACAAAATAATAACTATTAACATGAGAAGGAATGTAATATTTAATAATTAACATTATATTACAATTCTGAGAATTCTGATCAATGCAATAAAATATCAAGAAGAAATAATTCGAAAGAAGTGATAACATTATTTACAAATAGTACAAGAATAAGGAACCTTAAAATGATCATTTTCTATAATTTGTTATAGTAAATTGTTAAAGTCTACCTTAGGAAAGTAACACTAAGAGAAAATGTTAACAAAAATATCTTTGGAGTTATTTATGTTAACAAAATTTGGAAAAGCCTAAATATTTAGCTAGAAGGAAACGGTACATTGATATAGACTGGCATTAAACTTAGTTTCTTGATTTGATTAAACTTAGTTTCTATGAGACATTTGTATCATTCAAAGTTGTATGTATAGACACTGACTGAAACACAAAGTGGGTCATAATATTGAATATGTGATGTAATGGCAACCATGAAGAAAATATCAGAGAACCAAATGGAAGGAAAAGAACAGAACCTGAATAATGATTACCTTTGGACAGTGGGATCTTAGTTCCTTTTACTCTTCCTACTAATTTAAAATTTGCAAATTTATTACCTTCAGAATATGAGAATACGTTATATTTATAATTAGAAAACATAAAATGAGTGCTAAATAAACAAATATACCAAATTCTGTTTAGAATTCACTTCCCCAAGAAACTTTCTTTGATTAATCCCACTGGCATTGATCATTATTTTATATGGCACCCCCATACTTATGTATTCAGTTTCTACCAAATTAATTTGCATGTTTTAAAAAATCAATTTATAAGCATAATTATGGCATTTCTACATTTATATAGTGTAGTCTCCAAACTGAATTATAAGCTTGAGGATATGAGGAACCACAGTGTATTTCCAATTATATTTATACAATAAATCATGTGGTACTTTTCACAGAGTGAATGTTGTTAACTTACTGAAGACCTGACGAAACATGGGAAAGATGGCAATGTCTGACAAGAGGAACAGACGTGAAATAAAATCCAACATTCTGTGTAATTCTTATTGTCTCTTAACCCTACTTGTTGAATTACGAAAACTTCATATACAAAAATTTGAGCATTATACTCTTTAGCTGTACATTATCATTTCAAAACAAACTTTTACATGGCTCTCACTATTACAATAGTCTTCCCACTGTAAAAATTTTAAGCTGTAACTTTCTGCCATTACTACGTTACCTTCGTATTAGTTTATGCCATACTTCTTTCTGAGTTTCTGTCAATATTCATCTGAGGTATTTTTGTGTAAAAATTAGATAGTAACAGGAAAATAGATAACTGCTTCCAATATGTAGAAGTCATTACTACAGCTTTGCCTATTAACACATACACACTATTTCTTCATGTCCCAGATGTTCAGCTATATGGGAATGAAACAATGAGTTGGAACCTCTTGATTCAGTTATTCTGGTGACAAACAATGTGTATAGCTCATTGACGATTGTTTAACCCTTGACAAAATGTGGCTGCAATTGTTACTTGCAGATGTAGCCACACTTAATTTCTTTTCTCCACTCCCCACTGCATTGTATTTGTTATTCTTGATATCAGAAATGTGTTAAGAAATATGCCACTAACTGGGTGTGCTCCCTATACAATTAGCTACAGAAAGAGGTGATAACTCATATTATTTACAAAGATTACAAGTATAAAGAACCTTAAAATAATCATTTTCTATAATTTGTTATCAATTGTTAAGTTTATTTTAACAATTATCAATTAGCTACAGAACACGAGTAGTGTTTCTTACTTTAGCCTGATGTAAACATGTGATGCGGTAATATAGTGAAGAATATTACTCACTTCAGGGGATAGGGCTTTGGTCAAGAATTTTGAGAAACTCTTGAAAAAGGAAAAGAAAACCCCCCGTGATAGTAATACAATTCCAAAAGCAAAAGGAGAAAAAATGTAAATATATTAAATCAAAAAATATTTTAAGGTAAGGCAAAAGTAGGTATAGAATGGTGAGTCACATACAAATTGTGAAAGTGAGTAATGGCCCAGAAATCAAAGGAGAGGGAAAAATATGGTAGGTGAATATGGTTGCAATGCTAATTAAAAAAATGTTATTAGCAGCTAGCTCAATTCAAGCTTTGAATAAATAGAAAGAGTGTTTATAACAGTATGCTTAATCTACTGGTGCTAATATTAAGATAATTGTTGAAATATACTTAAAAGAAGTTAGTGAAAGCAGAGAATGAAAGACTATTGAACTTTTCTGGTTTATTGTGTAAAAATTTGCCTGTATCCAACATACAGGCACAAAAATAAAATACTGGAAATAGAGAGCAAATCTTGGCCATTCAAATGAGAGTCAGCTATTAATTCTTTGGACATAGGCTGTACTCCTACAAGCAAACTACGGCTAAAATATGCGATTCAATACAGATACTCATTTTTCAAGTGTTTACAACCTGTTTGAGTCCATTTGGACTGCTGTAACAAATTACCTTAGACTGGGTAATTTATAAACCAAATTTATTATTCTCAGTTCTGGGGGTTGGGAAGTCCAAGATCTAGGTGCCAGCAGAGTTGTTACCTGGTGAGGTTTGTTTCTCAAACTTAATGCTGCATCTTCACATGGCATAAGGGCAAAAGGGACAAAGTAGCTCCCTATGGGTTCTTTTATAAGGGGACTAACCCATTCATGATGGCTCCCCAACCCCCTTAACCTACTCACATCCCAAAGACCGCCCCTATTTATTTATTTATTTATTTATTTATTTATTTATTGAGATGGAGTCTTGCTCGGTTGCCCAGGCTGGAGTGCAGTGGCACAATCTCAGCTCACTGCAACCTCTGGTTCCCAGGTTCAAGCAATTCTCCTGCCTCAGCCTCCCGAGTAGCTGGGATTACAGGCGTGTGCCACCACACCTGGCTAATTTTTGTGTTTTTAGTAAAGATGGGGTTTTACCATGTTGGCCAGGCTGGTCTTGAACTCCTGACCTCGTGATCTGTCCACTTCGGCCTCCCAAAGTGCTGGGATTACAGGTGTGAGCCACTGTGTCCAGCCTAGCCTCACATCTTAACACCAACATATTGGGAATTAGATTTCAATATATGAATTTTGGAGAGATATAAACTTTAGGCCCACAGCACAAACCAAGGATGAATGTATGAGGCACCTCTCAAAATACACATTTGAAAAGATCAGAACGTCTGCAATGCCAAATGAATTACATTTGTAGAGGCAAATTCTAACAATGAAATGAGAAGAACTGCAAACAGAAGGAATCACAGAGAGAACCATTTAATTTTAACATTGAGGAAAAACTTTGAATGTGGGTTCCATTCAATTGTACAATAACTCAATGTATACAGCATCAACACTTTTAAAACATTGAGATAAAATATTTTTGGATTTTATCAAATTTGATGCAATGCTAGAAGAAGAATTCATACTTCTAAGGGACTGTGATAAATTAAAGGATTTATTTAGTTCTGTTTGCACTTGCTACATGCTGTTTCCAATATGAATATTTTCACAAGATTTACATGTCTAATACATGAGTTGGCTCCTGACCTTGAAGCAATTGTTAGCAATAGATACACTGGTAAAAAAAAATTATCTTCTGCTGTTCTGCATGACCATGGACATGGACATCTTAGTAGGTATGCATAATAAAAACTTTCAGTTCAGCTTAGTAAATATTTATTGACAATGTGCTAATCATGAGGAGGACTGTGGATAAAGGTGGATGATAAAGATAAATTTAAGTTGGGAAAACTACCACCACTACATCTACAAGGGCTGAAAGTATATACAAGTCAGAAGCACACAGAAATCACTGAACCACAAAGTAAATGGCCGTAAGTGCTGTTATATACCCAAAGCATGTCCTACTTATATAGTCCTTTAAATGGATAAATAATACATTAATTCTGACTGGGAAGGGAGAAAGTTTCTAGGAATAGTTCTTTAAAAAGTTGCATCAGTTTTGATTAATACATAGAAAGAGACTGTTACAGAAGAAGAGCTAGCTAACAGAAGACCTAGCATCATTTTATTCTTGCACAATATCAGGGAACACAACAGTTTTGTCAGCAGTAGCTACTTTTAGTTTCCTTGGATACTTGAGATCATCTGGGAAGATTGTGGTAAGTAAGGCTGCTGATGAAGACTTTGATTAAGAAAGGATTTATCAGGAGCTGGGCACAGTCGCTCTTGCCTGTAATCCCAGCCATGTAGGAGGATGAGGCAGGAAGACTGCTTAAATCCAGGAATTAGAGATTAACCTGGGCAATATAGACAGACCACCTTCTCTACAAAAAATAAAAAAACAATTAGATGGGCATTGTGGCACATGCCTGTGGCCCCAGCCATTGGGGAGACTGAGGTAAAAAGATCACTTGGGCCCAGGAGTTTGAGGCTACAATAGGCTGTGATTGTGATGGCAGTGGCTGCTGCCATCATGCCAGCTGCAGGGGAGAGGTGTGGCCAGGGTTGTATGCTCCCTGGATTTGGCAGGATGAGGACAAGTGGGAGCCCTGCCCTTCCGAATTGGAATGGGAGCTCCCTGGATGCTGCTGCAGCTGCCCAAACTGCAGCTGTAGCTGTAGACCTGGACCTCCCACTCCATGGAGCAGACGGGAGTTTATCCAACTCCCCTACTCTGTCCCCACCCTAGCCCACCACCCAGCCACCCAAACCAATGCTGCAGACTCAGGCCTCCCTGCACTCTTGGGGAGCCTGAGAACGCCCCCCTTGCCCCTTGCAGGCTTGGAGGCACCTCTTCCTGCTGCCTGGTCTCTCCCACCTCCTGGCTCTGTGCTCTGATCTCAGAGTGGGGTTGGGACCCAGCAGGGTGCTGTCACTGCCCAGCCAGGTGTGCACACATTGGAAGCAGTGCTGACATGTCAGTCCCCTGCCACCTCAGCCCCTTCTGGACTTTGGACACTGAGGAGCAGGAGCATGGGAGGGGAAGATGAGGGGGTACGAGGGTGGCTTGGCACTGGCCTGCAAGTGCCCCTTGATGCCAGCAGCCTGGGTGCCATGGATGGTTGTGGGAGGCAGACAGGCTCCTGGGTGGAAGGTGATGGGTCCCCAGTGAAGCCCCACCTGCAGGCTAGGCTGCCAGTCCTGCAGACTGGAGGCAAAACTCATGGTGCTTTTTCCTGGGCCCGCCCATGGCTGCCCATGGACCAACGGGCATACATTTCCTCCCCTCTGACATCCATAAAAGCCCAGGACTCAGCCAGAACAGGGCAGAAGACAGAGGAGGGAAGACTAGAGGCAGGAAGGAGCTATCCTTTCTGCTGATAGCTGGAGACAATGGGAGGGCCAGATATTTTCTCTGCTGAATGCTTCAGAGACCTGCATAGATGTCTGGGAACTACCAGCTGCAGACAGGAGCAACCCTCTCCAGGGTTTCCCTTTCTGCTGAGAGCTGAACACTTGACAGAACAACCTAGAGAGGAGCTACCCACTATGGGTCTCCTCTGAGCTGTTCTAACACTTAATAAAGCTCCTCTCCTTTAACCCTTCACTTGTCTACCTACACCATTCTTCCTGGATGCAGGACAAGAACTCGGACAAAGATGCCACCAACCACAGTTTTCAAACCAGAAAATCGACACCCCAAAGATTCCGTAACAATTGCACAACTGCACTCCAGCCTAGGTGACAGAGTGAGACCCTGACTCTTAAAAAAAAAGAAAAAAAAAGAAATTATCCACAATTTATTAGATAAGACTGTTAATAGCTTCTAATTGTGATACCTTCCCGTTTGAAATGGAAGGCATGGAAGTTAACACCAGGTCAGTTTTCCCAAAGTTATAACCCTGCTTTTGGCCTCTTTCAGCTCCAGTCAGACATTAGCAATGCTCAGTTACCTTCAATATTAAGCCGGTCCTGACATGAAACTGGCAGCATTTGAGAACACTGACCCAGACTTGAAGGTAGATCTGGAATTAGGATTGCTGCTTTAAGCCCAGTATCAAGGTATACAATGAACCATGCATTTCTCATAAGCCAAATTTAGTGGATTTTTTTCCTATAATTCTGAGGATAACTTTGCCTTGATTATATATTAAAACAATTCATTTGCTGTATCTTCATTACTGTCCCAAATGTTTTGGGTTGACATACTGATGTTAGCTAGTGGTTTTGGTCTCAAGTTTCAGTAGCTGCTCCAATGTAAAATGATCACACATAAATCTTAGGTTTTTACTCATATGATACCTTGTCTGATACTATCTTTATCTATCAAATAAAGGGTTTAGTATTTTCTTAGTCAATGTGGGCTGCTATAACGGAAAACACAGATTGAGCGAGTAAAACAATAAACATTTGTTTTTCACAGATCCGTAGGCTGTAAATCTGAAATCAGGGAGTCAGCATGGTTGGGTTCTTGGTGAAGGCTGTCTTCCTGGTTTACAGATGGCTGTCTTATTTTATCCTCACATGGAGGAGAGAAAAATCTCTCTTGTATCTCTTTCTAGAAGGGCACTACTTTCCTTTGATGAGGGTTTCATCTTCATGACCTAATTACCTCCCAAAGGTTTACCTCCTAATACCAATACATTGAGAGTTAGGATTTCATCATATGAATTTGAGGGATTTGCAGTCCATAATAACTACCAATGTCAACTCAGTTCAAGCTTGAATTTGTTTTGCTTTGGGTGACAAATCTCTAACTAATTTGAATTCATCTTTCCCCAGTCTGGTTCAGTGTTGTCTTCTTTCTCCTTCACCACCAACAGTTAGCAAGATGTCAGTTTTACTTGAGGCTAAGTATGTTTTAGTTATCACAATAGAGAACCCTGTAAGCTATATCTTAGTTTCCCCTTTCATAATATTTTTCATTATGGAAAAAATACATTCTAAACATTGTTCCTATTATAAGAAACTTGGCTGCATCTTTGCAACAAAAATAATGTGGATATTTACCAAATACAGCTGTAGAGAAAGGTAAAATCATTGCTCTGAATTATTCATAAAATCACAGAAATTAGGGACAAACACTAAATAAGAATGAATTATTCAGTGACCCGAAACAGATATTTTCTTTAGTTTCTCATGTAATTTGAAATGTACCGCAATTTACATCCTGAGTGTTATAAACTTATGATGTTTCTCTTTTAGTGAAAAGCACCCATCAGAACTTGTTAAACAAATGAGTTTTTTTTCTCTTCCCATCTCTAAAAGCATTTTTCATACCTACACATCTACAAATATGTTTTAATAGACCTAAACTCTATATGATGTCATTTTCCCCTTGAGTACCAGAATATATATTTAGTCCTGTAGAATTATTTAGCTCTCAGGTGCTGAGTTACTATTTCTCAGGAGTTGCATTGCCCAAAGTACTGTGGACATTTTTCTCATTTTAAATTTCACCTCACATGGTCCTTTGGTTTTGTTACATTTTGTACCTGTTTTGATTGTTTTTTTCCTCTCTATGAAAATTACTTGCCAAGTAAGGAGAAAAAGTATTGCTGTTTTTCCTTATTCAAAAATTATGGTAGATGAAAAAAATCTGATTAAATAACTCTATTACAGTCTTTCTCAACTTTTTACTGAGATAAACTTGAAGGCACTGAAAAGGTGAAATTTTCAGCTATTGAAAATTTAGAATGTAGGACATCATGCCGAGATTTGAGGAAACCTATCAATAATTTAGCAAGGGATGGTAGTAGATACACAAAAAGCAATTAGAAGCAAAAAGGCCTTGGATTCTTTTCATGTTAAAGAAAATACATTCTGAAAGTAAGTACAAAGACCCTTTGTATTTCCTTCATAACCTGTTCCCTAACAGAATACCAGGACCTATGCCAAGGGAAAAACTGTGTAGATGTGTTTTTCTCTTCTGGTGCTGATATGGTCATAGGATGGGGATGCTCTCTCTTTGCTATTTCTCTAACCAATCTTATTACTATATCAATTAATATCAAAACATTTCAAGTCTAGTTACTGACAAGAGAGTAAACTAGAGAGGACTCCTGACTCATAACAAGGATTCAGATCTAGAGTTCTCATAGAGTGAAGAGATTATGTTTGCAACTGAGAAACAAATGTAAAAACTGTAAGGAATCCCTGGAGAGTCTGAAAGTCCCTGAGCCCTGATACAGAGAGCAAATGGCAGTTTAAGGCTGACCACCTCTCATTCCCTCCACTATTTCTCACATAAGAATATTACAGCACACTCTTCACTGCTCTCTCTGCTTCAAGCTTTCCCTTCCACCTCTCTATTCCACAGAGAAGGTAGAATGCTCCTCTTAAAATACAAGGTGGATTATTTTACTCATCTGCTTAAAAACTTTTCAATGGCTTCTCATCTCATTCTGAATAAAATTCAAAGTGCTTTCCAGGCTTACAAGTCCCTGTACGATCCTGAGCCTTGACAATATCTCTGACAAAATCTCCAGCCTCCCATTGGTCACTCCTGCTCTATCACAGTAGTGTACTTGCTGCTGTTTTGAAACATAGAAAGCATGATTTTACTTCAGTGTCTTTATCCTTGTTATTTTCTCTGCCTGCCTTTTTCTGTGTCTTGGGCATTCCATATGACTCATCTCCTCATTCCCCTTAGTCCTTTTTGCATGTGGCATTTGAATACAGAAATCTTCACTATCTAAAATTATACTCCCATATCCATAACTTCTTTTATTGCTCTAGATATCCTTACAGCATTTATCATTACCATTTATTAGGTTATTTGTCTTTTCTTACTAAAATGTAAACTAAATACAGACAGAAATTTTTGTAATTAAAAAACACATAACAAAAAAATCTACCATCTTAACAAAATTTTAAGTTTGCAGAACATTTTGTTAATGATATACACATTGTTGTACAGCAGAAATCTAGAATGTTTTTATCTTGCTTGACTGAAACTCTACACCTGGTGAACAGCAACTCCAGATTTCCTGTTTCCTCCAGGCCCTGACCACTACCATTTTATCTTGTGTTTCCATGTGTTTGGCTACTTTCAATACATCATATAAATGGAATCACGATATATTTGTCTTTGTGTCTGGCTTATTTCACTTAGCACAATATCCTTAAGCTTGATACATGTTGAAATACGACAGAATTTTCCTTTTGAAGGCTGACTAATATTCCATTCTGTGTGTGTATGTATATATACATATATATACATATATACATATATATACACATAAATATACCATATATATACACCATACATATATATGCCATACTATATATATCATACATATATATATATATACACCATACATATATATACCATACATATATATATATACACACACACACATATACCATATTTTCTTCATCTGTTCATTTGATGATGGACTTTTAGATTGTTTCTACTTTTTGGCTATTGTGAATAATTCTGTAACGAATATGGGAATGCAAATATCACTTCAAGATCTTGTTTTCAATTATTTTGGAATTATTCAATTATTTTGGAAAAATGCCCACAAGTGGGATTGCTGCATCATATGGTAGGTCTATTTTTTAATGTTTTGAGGACCCTCCATACTGTTTTCCATAGTGGCTCTACCATTTTACATTCCTACTGACAGTACATAAGGTTCTAATTCAATTTCTCCACATCTTCATCAACACTTGCTATTTTCTTTTTTTAAAAATGGTCATACAGTTATGAGGTGATAAATCCCGTTGTGATTTTAATTAGCATTTCCCTGATGATTAATGATGTTGAGTATCTTTTTATATCCCTGTTGGTCATTTGCATGTCTTCCTGAAAAATATCTATTTAAGAATTTGGCCATTTTAAAATTGGGTTATGTGTTTATTTGCTTTTGAGTTCTAGGTGTTTCTTATATATTTTGGATATTAAGCCCTTAGCACATATACGGTTTTCAAATATTTTCTCCAATTCTATAGGCTGCCTGTTCACTCTGTTGTTTCCTTTTTTGCACAGAAGCATTTTATCTTGATGTAATCACCCTAACCTATTTTTGCTTTTGTTGCCTGTGCTTTTGGTATCAAATCCAAGGAATTATTGCCACGACCAATGTGATAAAGCCTTTCTTTATATTTTCTTGTAGTTTTACAGCTTTAGTTCTTACATTTAAGTCTTCAATCCATTTGGAGTTAACATTTGTGAACAGTTTTAAGATAACGGTTCACTTTCATTCTTTTGCATATGGATATCCAGTTTTCCCAACAATATTTGTTGAAGAAATTATCCTTTCTCCATTGTATAGTTTTGGCACCCTCGTCAAAGATCATTTGACTATATGCATGTGGGTTTATTTCTGGGCTTGCTTTCCTTCCTTCCTTCCTTCCTTCCTTCCTTCCTTCCTTCCTTCCTTCTTTCTTTCTTTCTTTCTTTCTTTCTTTCTTTCTTATTTCTTTCTTTCTTTTTGAGATGGAGTCTTGCTCTGTAACCAAGGCGGGAGTGCAGTGGTGTGATCTTGGCTCACTGCAACCTCTTCCTCCTGGGTTCAAGCGATTCTCCTACCTCAGCCTCCCAAGTAGCTGGAATTACAGGTGCCCATAACCATGCCCAGCTAATTTTTGTATTTTTTCATAGGGACGGGGTTTCACCATGTTAGCCAGGCTGGTCTTGAACTCCCGACCTTAAGTGATCTGCCCGCCTTGGCCTCCCAGTGGGCTTTCTATTCTGTTCCAATAATCCATTCTGTTCCATTCATCTATATGATTAGTTTTACATTAATATCACACTATTGGGATTGCTGTAGCTTTGTAGTATATTTCAAAGTCAGAAAATGTGAGGCCTCTAACTGTTTCTCTTTCTTAGGATTGTTTTGGATATTCAGGGTCCGTTGTGGTTCCATATGGATTTTAGAATTGTCCTTTCTATTTCTCTAAAATTATCATTGGAATTTATACAATTCCAAGGGATTACATCAAATCTGTAAATTGCTTTGGCTAGTATTAGAATTTAAAAATATTCTTTGAATTCACAAAAATGAGATGGCTTTCCATTTATTTGTGTCTTCCTTAATTTCTTTCAGCAATATTTTGCAGTATTCAGTGTACAAGTCTTTCCCCCACCGGCTAAGTTTATTCCAAAATATTTTATTCAGTTTGATGCCATTGCAAATGGATTGTTTTCTTAATTTCCTTTTCAGAATGTTTGCTGTTTGTGTTTTTTTGAATCTTTACTTTGAATCCTGCAACTTTGCTGAATTAATTTTATTAGTTCCAAGAGCTTTTTGTTGAATCTTTAGGGTTTTTTTAATATATAAGATGATGTTTTCTGGGAATAGAAAAAATTTTACTTACTTCTTCCTTTCCAATTTGGATGCCTTTATATCTTTTTCTTGCTGAATTATTTTAGCTAGGACTTTATGTACTTCATAAAGGTGTCCTTGCCTTGTTCCTGATCCTGATCTTAGAAGAAGAGATTTCAGTTTTTCTTCATTAATATGGTGTGAAATGTGGGTTTTTACATATGGCCTTTATTCTGTTGGAATAATTTCTTTCTATTCCTATTTTTTCAAGTGTTTTTCTAACGAGAGAGTGTTGAATTTCATCAAATGATCTTTCTCCATCTACGGAGATGAACACGTTATTTGAATTATTTTGTTAATGTGGCATATTATATTGATTTGCACATGTTGAACCCTTCTTGCATTCCAGGAACAAATCCATCATAATTATGGTGGATGATACTTTATAGTGCTGTTGAATTCAATTTACTGGTATTTGTTGAGGATTTTGCATCTACATTCATTAGGAATATTTAATTTTTTTTCTTGTAGCACCATTGTCTGGCTTTGATATTAGGGTTATACTAGCTTCACAAAAAGAGTTTAGAATAGTTCTTTCTTCTTTAACTTTTTAGGAATGTTTGAGAAATATTGGCATTAATTCTTCCTTAAATGTTGGCAGAATTCTCTAGTAAAGTCATCTGCACCTGAGATTTTCTTTGTTGGAAGATTTTTGATTACTAATTTAAACACCTTACTAGCTATAGATTTGTTCATATTTTGTATTTCTTTTTGATTCAGTGTTGTTTGTTGTATATTTCCAGTAATTTGTTTTTTTTCTAGGTTATCCAATTATTACCATAATAATTCACAGCAGTCTCTAATAATCTTTTTTATTTCTGTGGCATCAATTGCAATGTCTACTTTTTCATTTTTAATTTTATTTGGTTGAGTCTTTTCTCTTTTTAATTGCCATATTCCATTGTATAGTAATACCACAGTTTTTTTTTAATCTATTCACTTGCATTGGTTCTACTTTCTGGTTATAATGAAAATATGTGTGTGAAAATATCCTTTATTTGCTTAATTTTTATTATTTCCTTCCTTTTGCTGGGTTTGGGCTTGGTTCTTTTTTTTAGTTCCTTGAGTTGTAAAGTTAGGTTGTTTATTTGAGATCTTTCTTCTTTTTTAAGGTAGGCATTTATTGCTATAAATTTCCCTCTTTAGTACTGCCTTTGCTGCATTTCTAAGTTTTGCTATGTTGTGTTTTTTTATTTTTTTGTCAGCTTGTTTTCTAATATTCTTTTTGATTTCTTCTTTGACTCATTGGTTGTTCAATAGTATGTTGTTTAATTTCCATATATTTGTAAATGTTTCCGTTTTCCTTCTACTATTGAATTTTTGCTTCATCCTACTTTTGGTCAAAACAGGTTCTTGATTTCCTTTGTCTTAATTTTGTTAAGACTCTCTTTGTGACCTAACATTTGATCTATCCTGGAGAATGTGTCAGGATATGTCACTTTGCCAGATAATTTATATACCTCCATTTTTGAAGGGTTGATATTTGGAAACTTATTTTCTTCTTTTTATTAGGCCATGTTTCCCTGTTTCCTTGTGTGCCTTTTAATTTTGTGTTGTTATTCTAGGATTTGAAAAAAATAACCACTTCTCCTTGTCTTTACAGACTGGTTTTGCACTGGGAAATCCTTTCACCAGTCAGCCCAGTTAGAGATTCTGAAGTGTGTCAAATCTTTCTGTGAATGTATTGTCTCTGAAATTGTGTGTAAATTCTGAGAAAAATTTGCAGGTCTTTCTTCAGGAGCATGTAATCTCTTGCTCTCTTTGTTATCTATCTGTAGTACTGTAGGTTATCTGGAGTTGCTATAACCCCCTAGCTCTCTTTTGTTCTCAGCAGTCCTCAGACATGAAGAGTATCCAGTCAGACAGAAAACAGTCCATCAGGCTGACTGGGAAAAGTTGAAATTCTGGATGCACACTCCAGCTTTTTCCTTCTCCAAGGGGAAGCCAGGAGTTGAGGGTTTTGTCCCACTCATTGCATATTGATCCAGGGAAGGATGATATGATAAGTGAATGTATGCTAACCCAAACTTCCTCAACTCATTTATTCTTAATATCCCCAACCTGGAAAGCTTTCCTGTTAACGCTTAAATTCAGGCAAGACAGAAAACAATCACTTGGCAACTCCCCTGAAGTCTGAACACTGAATGTGTGTTGCAGTATTCTCTTTCACTTCTGTGGGGGAATCAGGAACTGTAGAGTATTCTCCCAATCTTGTTATACTGAGTCACAGGAGGAACGATGGTGATTGAGTGACAGTCCAAACTGTGGCTTTATCAGCAGGCATGCAATCTGGCATCCTTTCCTGTTAGCACTTAGATTCAGGGTAGATAGGTGCTAGTGCCCTCCCAAAAAGTCAAAATGTTGGATGTATGGTCTAGACTTTTCTTTCTCTCCCTAGAGATGAGCTGGGAGTTTGGAGCTTTCTCTCCATTGCGTTGTACTGCTGAGGGAGTATGAGTGAGTGCAACAAATTTACCTGCTGGTTTTGATGTGCCTGGCTTGAAGCCTACCAGGGAATCCAGAGTCTTTAAATTCTCCTCTGAACTTTTCACGAAGGGGATTTATCTGTGTATTATTATTGAGCTGGTGTCTCCTTGGAGAGGAGGGTGGAGGGGCTTTGAGGCTTTCTATTTCATCATCTTGCTGGTATCCTGACAGGAATTTTAAACTGGGCTCCTTTCCCCACATTGTTGGAGAATGGATCCTGGCTGGTTATAGGTACTCATGAAATACTGGATAAATTATTATTTATCATTTACTTACAAAAACTTAAAATTTTTATTATGGGAAATAAGTTTTTAATCACTATTAAAGTTTGTTGAAGCACTAATTCATTACTGTGAAAAGTGGGGAGGGGTATAAAAATCAAGCATTTGTCTACTTATCTTGTTTTTCCTGTCCAAACTGTGTTTTGGTGTAATCAATACACATTTGGGAAGAAATGTTCTTTTAGAAATTATTCCAGCTAATAAATGAAGAAAAAAATGAAAGAATGTAGTACCCTGTTATAACACCTAGTAAAATAATGGTTGAAACAAGTTTTCTAATGAATGCTAAAGCTATTAGTTGAAAAGTTGATGCAAACCTTTACTGTGGAAGAATGTAGCTGACATTAATTTCTTATCTGAATTACATTTTTTGAAACTTTATGACTCTTTGAATTTAAAAGGGATTTTGGTGTCATTATTTTTTCTTTTACAGTTTCTTTTTTCACATAAAAATCAACTATTAACTGATTGGTTTTATGGTCTTTTGGAAAGAGACTATATAAATTCTGATTTTTGTATGAAGATCTCTTTTACACTGTCAGAGGAAATTTTATCTCTGGTAAGCTCTGATTTCATCTTTCAATTTTATTTTGAATTTCTTTCTTTGTCTTTTGTCTTATCAGCACCTTGTTTAATTTAAAATATATTCAGTGTCAACAAGGAGTTAAATCAGGAAACTAATTTATCCAGAAATGCAAATATTTTTGCAGATATTTTATCCTTTGTTTTAGATCCTTAATATGTAATTTCAAAAAATGAAATATGGACAGTTTGCTTGATTTCTGAGCATAGTCAATGAATAATTTTACCAAAATAAGCAAACATTTTTCGAGCTTTTTTTTTTCCTTGAGACTGAGTCTTGCTCTGTCACCCAAGTTGGAGTAGGGTGGTGTGATCTTGGCACACTGTAAACTCTGTCTTCCACGTTCAAGCAATTCTTCTGCCTCAGCCTCCTGATTAGCTGAGATTACAGTTGCCCACCACCACACCCAGCTAATTTTTTTTTATTATTATTATTAGAGACGGGGTTTCATCATGTTGGCCAGGCTAGTCTCCAACTCCTGACCTCAAGTGATCCGCCCACTTCGACCTCCCAAAGTGCTGGGATTACAGGCATAAGCCACCACGCCTGGCCTGGAGCATTTTGATATAATGAATTACTGATGAAACCTTTTAATATAATGTTAGACAGCCCATTTAAAAATAATCCAGTATAATTATTATGTTCTTTATATGACTACATTTCACAGTGAAGTAACTTAGCACTCTGTATTTATAATGCTTTGAAAATACATATTAGTTGCTGATTTTATATTCCAAACAGAAATTATAGGACATCTTATTATATAAACACAAGAATTC